>NC_000011.10:56040225-56343255 GCF_000001405.40 Homo sapiens
TAGAAAAAGAGCTGAAATTGTGGAAAAACAGGCACAAACTCTTATTATGTGAATGGCTGACCTGCAACAAAAGTGCATGCACAGCCTCACCAGGTATCTACTGTTAAAGTGAGGGCATTGATTGGAAAAGAATGGGTCCCGGCAATTTGAAATGGGGATGGTGGGAGGGCCCTGATGAAACCGGGGACACTGAGTTTGTAAACTGGTGAATGTTCTTTGCCAGAAGAAACAGCTTTCCCACCCCTAGTAGTGGCAACATCCTCCGCACGACTCATGCTGCTTTTCCACCTTTGTCTGAGGGGATAAACCCTGTGCTGCCTGAGGCATCAGTGATGGCCTCTCCTAAGGCAGTTGCCAGGCAAGATAATGTTGATTCTCCTCTGGACCCACCCCAGACACTCCTGTTTACTTCTAGGCCTATAACTAGACTAAAGTCCTGGTAGGCTCCCAGAGGTGAGGTTCAGAGTGTGACTCATGAGAAGGTATGCTACATTCAAAAAGAACTGCTTGAGTTTTCTAATTTATACAAGTAGAAATCTAGAGAACAGGCATAGGAATGGATATTAAGGGTGTGGGATAATGGTGGAAGGAACATAGAGTTGAATCGGTGGAATTTTTTGATTTGGGCCCACTAAGTAGGGATTCTGCATTTAATGTTGCAGCTAAGGGAGTTAAAAAAGGGCCCTAATAGTTTATTTGCTTGGTTAGCTGAAATACGGATTAAAAGATGGCCCACTGTGAGTGAGCTGGACATGCCTGATCTCCCTTGGTTTAATGTAGAGGAAGAGATCCAAAGGCTTAGGGAGACTGGGGTGGTGGAGTGGATTAGTCACTTTAGACCTACTCATTCCAACTGGGAGGGTCCAGAAGATATACCCTTGACCAATGCTTTGCGAAATAGATTTGTGAGGGCAGCACCTACATCTTTGAAGAGCCCTGTAATTGCTTTTCTCTATATGTCAGATATAACAATGGGAATCACAGTCACTCAACTACAAATTTAAATACATTGGGAATAACTGTATCCCTAGGTGGCAGGAACCAAGTGGCAGCACTCAGCCTTCAAAGGCAAGGTAGGCATAGCTACCTTAATGGACAGCAGAGGCAAAGCGGCCATCAGAATAGTCTGACTTGTGTAGAGCTCTGGCATTGGCTAATTAATCATGGTGTTTCTAAAAGTAAAATTGATAGGAAGCCTCCTGTATTCCTACTTAATTTTTGTAAGCATAAAACTTCCAGGTCAAATAGATAAAAAAGTAATTAGAATTATAAAAACACAGAATCATGGCCCCTCAATCAATTTCCAGACTTGAAGCAGCTTACAGACCCAAAACCCCTTGAATGAAGGGGAGGTTGGGTACTCTTGAGGAAGGGCCCCACTACACTACTAATAATTTATGCTGTTAATCATTCTCCCATCCTTCCCCAAGGGGACCTCTGGCCTTTTACCAGGGTAACTGTGCATTGGGGAAAGGGAAATAATCAGACATTTTGGGGAGTACTGGACACTGTCTCTGGGCTGATGTTGATTCCAGGGGGCCCAAAATATCATTGTCGTCCTCCAGTTAAAGTAGGGGCTTATGGAGAACAGGTAATTAATAGAGTTTTAGCTCAGATCTGACTTGTGTCCAATGGGTCTCTGGACTCATCCTGTGGTAATTTCCCGAGTGCCAGAAAGCATAATTGGCATAGACATATTTCGCAGCTGGCAGAACCCCTACATTAGCTCCCTTGTAGGTGAGGGCTATTATAGTGGGAAAGGCCAAATGGATGCCATTAAAGTGGCCTCTACCTAAAAAGAAATAGTAAATCAAAAACAATATTGCATCAGCGGAGGGAATGTGAAGATTAGTGCCAACATCAGGGACTTGAAAGACACAGGGGTGGT
Source organism: Homo sapiens (assembly GCF_000001405.40). NCBI lineage: Eukaryota > Metazoa > Chordata > Mammalia > Primates > Hominidae > Homo > Homo sapiens. The sequence goes on from NC_000011.10 coordinate 56,042,114, forward strand.
GATTCCTACAACATCCCTGTACAACTCTCCTATTTGGCCTGTGCAGAAGTCAGATGGATCTTGGAGAATGACAGTGGATTATCATAAGCTTAACCAGTGGTCACTGTAATTGCAGCTGCTGTACCAGATGTGGTTTCATTGTTTGAGCAAATTAACACATCTCCTGATACCTGGTATGCAGCCATTGATCGGCAAATGGCTTTTTCTCCATTCCTGTCCTTAAGGCCCAACAGAAGGAATTTGCCTTCAGCTGGCATGGCCAGAAATATACCTTTATGTCCAACCCCATGGGTATGTCAACTCTCCAGATTAGTGTCAAAATCTTGTTTGGAGAGATCTCAATCGTTTTTTACTTCCATGAGATATCACACTGGCGCACTAAATTGATGACATTGTGTTGATTGGATCCAGTGAGCAAGAACTAGCCAACAAACTGAATGTATTGGTGAGATATTTGCATGCCAGAGGATGGGAAATAAATCCAACTAAAATTCAGGGATCTTCTACCTCAGTAAAATGTGTAGGGGTCCAGTGGTGTGGGGCCTGTTGAGATATTCCTTCTAAGGTGAAGGATAAGTTGCTGCCTACAACCAAGAAAGAGGCACAACACCTGGAAGACCAATTGGATTTTGGAGGCAATACCTTCCTCATTTGGGTGTGTTACTCTGGCCCATTTATCAAGTTACCCCAAAGGCTGCCAGTTTTGAGTGGGGTCCAGAACAGGAGAAGGCTCTGCAATAGGTCCAGGCTGCTGTGCAAGCTGCTCTGCCATTTGGTCCATATGACCCAGCAGATCCAATGTGCTTGAGGTTTCAGTGCAGATAAGAATGTTGTTTGTGGCCTTTGGCAGGCCCCCTTAGGTGAATCAGAGTGGAGTCCTCTAGAATGTTGGGGCAAGGCCCTGCCATCTTCTGCAGATAACTACTCTCCTTTTGAGAGATAGCTCTTTGCCTGCTACTGGGCTTTGGTGGAAACTGAACGTTTGCCTATAGATCATCAGGTCACCATGCAACCTGAAGTGCCTATCATAAACTGGGTGCTTTCTGATCCATCTAGCCATAAAGTGGGTCATGCACAGCAGCATTCCATCATCAAATGGAAGTGGTATATACGTGATCTGTCTCTAGCAGGTCTTGAAGGCACCAGTAAGTTACATGAGGAAGTGCCACAAATGCCCATTGCCTCCTTCACTTTTGCCACCCCGCCTTCTCTCCCCCAGACTGCATCGATGGCCTCATGGAGAGTTCCTTTGATCAGTTGACAGAGGAAGAGAAGACTAGGGCCTGGTTCACAGAAGGGTCTGTACGATATGCAGGCACCACTGTAAAGTGGACAGCTGCAGCACTGTAGCCCCATTTTAGGACATCACTGAAGTACAGCGGTAAAGAAAACCTTCCCAGTAGGCAGAACTTCGAGCAGTGCACCTGGTTGTGCAGTTTGCATGGAAGAAGAAATGGCCAGATGTGCGATCATATACTGATTCATGAGCTATAGTCAATGGTTTGGCTGGATGGTCAGGAAATTGGAAGAAGTATGATTGGAAAATAGGTGACAAAGAAATATGGGGAAGAGGTATGTGGATGGACATCTCCGAATGGTCAAAAACTGTGAAGGTATTTGTATACCATGTGAGTGCTCACCAATGGATGACCACAGCAGAGGAGGATTTTAATAATCAAGTGGATAGGATAACCCATTCTGTGGATACCACTCAGCCTCTTTCCCTAGCCACTCCTGTCATCGCCCAATGGGCCCATGAAAAAGTAGCCATGGTAGCAGGGATGGAGGTTACACATGGGCTCAGGAACATGGACTTCCATTCACCTGGCTATGGCCATGGCTAAGTTTTCAATTTGCCAGCAGCAGAGACCAACACTGAGCCCTCAATATGGCACCATTCCTCGGGATGATCAGCCAGCTAGCTGGTGGCAGGTTTATTATATTGGATCTCTTTCATCATGGAAAGGGCAGAGGTTTGTCCTCACTGGAATAGACACTTACTCCAGATATGGGTTTGCCTATCCTACATGCAGTGCTTCTCCCACATCTGTGGACTCATGAAATGCCTTGTCCACCATCATGGTATTCCACACAGCATTGCCTCTGACCAGGGCACTCACTTTATGACTAAATAAATGCTGCAATGGGCTCATCCTTGTGGAATTTACTGGTCTTACCATGTTCTCCATCATTCTGAAGCACCTGGATTGATAGAATTGTAGAATGGCCTTTTGAAGTCACAATTACTGTGCCAACTAGGTTACGTTACTTTGCAGGGCTGTGGCAAAGTTCTGCAGAAGGCCCTGTATGCTCAGAATCAGCATCCAATATAAGGTGCTGTTTCTCCCATAGCCAGGATTCATGGGTACAGGAATCAAGAGGTGGAAGTGGAAGTGGCACCACTCACCATCACCCCTAGTGATCCACTGGCAAAATTTTTGCTTTTTCTTTCCATGATATTACATTCTGTTGGCCTAGAGGTCTTAGTTCCAGAGGGAAGAACACTAACACCAGGAGACACAACAACAATTCCGTTAAATGGGAAGTTAAAATTACCACCTGGACACTTTGGGACCCTCCTACCTTTAAGTCAACAGGCTAAGAAAGGAGTTACAGTGTTGGCTGGGGTGATTGACCTGGACTATCAAGATGAAATCAGTTTGCTACTCCACGATAGAGGTAAGGAAGAATATCCACAAAATGCAGGCAATCCATTAGGGCGTTTCTTAGTATTACCATGTCCTGTGATTAAGCTGAATGGAAAACTACAACAAACCAATACAGTTGAGACTACAAATGGCCCAGACTCTTCAGGGCTGAAGGTTTGGGTCACTCCACCAGCAAAAAAAAAAAAAAAAAACAAAACAAAAAAAAAAAAAACATGACTTGCTGAGGTTCTTCCTGAAGGCAAAGGGAATACAGAATGTGTAGCAGAAGAAGGTAGTCATCAATACCAGCTACGACCACATGACCAGTTGCAGATATGAGGGATGTAATTGTCATGAGTATTTCCTTTTTCTTTTGTTAAAAGCATGTTTGTGCATGTATACACTTGTACGAAGAAATATCTTCATTTTATTTCCTTTTCCTTCATCATGTGACATAAGATTTATTGATTTCATATCAGCATTTAAGTATTGTTAACTTTATGTAATAGCATTTGGGTTGGGAATTGATACCTCTTCTCTGCCACCATCCCACCTCCACACAACATGCAGTTTTGGAACAGTACTTGTTGGAGGAAAATTCACAGAGGTGGAGGAGTTCTCAGATGCACTGCTCTTGTAGTTCATTCCATGTTAAAGTAATGCAAAAGCAATCTGGTCATATCCACCTTCATTAATGAAAGGCAGGATATGTAGCTTTTAACATAATCTGGAAGCAATAGATCCTCTTTAAGCTGATCTGAATATGGGATCCAATAACAACCCTGGCCAAACTCTGGGATCGAGCCCTTTTCAGCAAACTCAAAATTCATTAGTTCTGAGAGCTCCAATTTCTTCTATAACTTGAAATAAAGGCTGAAAAACAAGCCTTGCAATTGAGACCTTTCATTGGAACAGAATCCTGACATTGCCAGGAAGCAGCACCACCACACCTCAGGTGCAAGCAAGGGCTGAGGTCCAAGTCTTGCAGTTACAGCTGTACAAACTGTGAGACATGTGATCTGAGCTGCTACCTCAGCATTTGTTCTGGTTATATGGTGCTCTGCTACAAAATTTAGTGGCTTAAACTAGCAATTGCCATTCATTTGACTCATGAATTTGGGCAGGGTTGGATAAAAATGAAGACTCTCTGCACCCCAACATCCAGAGTATCATTTGAAATCACTTGAACATCTGGGGCTGGAATAGCTTGAAGTTTGCTGAGTGTCTCTTTTTTATTTAGTGTAAGTGCATCTCCTTTTGGTCTTTCCACATGTTCTCTTCCAGAAATGGCCTTAGGGTAGTCAAGCAGCAAGTGTTCCAAAGATCACAGCAGACACTGCTAGCCTCCCATGTCCTAACTGGGAGGGGTCCCAAAACATTATCCATCATTCTTGTTGTCTTCTGAGGAAAAAGCAAGTCACCAATGATACCCTGTATTCAAAGGAAATCCAACTTTTCATCTTGAGAAGTGTCCATGAATTTACAGTCATCTTTATTCCATCACAGCAATCTATCATAATAGATAGAATTAACAGAATGTTATAATTGATTTCTCTAACCTCTATCAAGTTTTTATAGAGGTTCACAAGAGAACAGCCAGCAAAGACTTAGTGTTGGACAAATTTGCCCTTAACTTTTATTCCTCCCTTCTCTTAAAAATGACAGCTTTCATTGTTCAACTCCCACTTATGAGTGAGAACACATGGTGTTTGGTTTTCTGTTCTTGTATTAGTTTGCTAAGAATGATAGTTTCCAGGTTCATCCATGTCCCTGCAAAGGACATGAACTCATCCTTTTTTATGGCTGGACAGTATTCCATGATGTATATGTGCCACATTTTCTTTATCCAGTCTATCATTGATGGGCATTTGGATTGGTTCCAAGTCTTTGCTATTGTGAACAATGCTACAATAAACATACATGTGGCATGTGTCTTTATAGTAGAATGATTTATAATCTTTTGGGTATATACCCAGTAATGAGATTGCTGGGCCAAATGGTATTTCTGGTTCTAGATCCTTGAGGAATCACCACACTTTTCCACAATGGTTGAACTAATTTACACTCCCACCAACAAAACACATGGACACAGGGAGGGGAATATCACATACCAGGGTCTGTTGGGGGGTGGGAGGCTAGGAGAGGGATAGCAGTAGAAGAAATACCTAATGTAGTTGATGGGTTGATGGGTGCAGCAAACCACCATGGCACATGTATACCTATGTAACAAACCTGTAAGTTTTGCACATGTATCCCAGAACTTAAAGTGAAAAATAATAATAATAAAAAATGGCAGCTTTCATAGTGATTTACAGGTCATTAGATCAGTGATCTATATCATTTTAATTAAAAAGGGCCTTAGGAAAGAAGTATTTACCTATAGAATAGTGGACCCAGGGAAGAAAGGTATGGCAACACTGAACCCTTCTACTGAACCAGGGACCAAGATTCTTGCAAAAGAAAATATCCAAGGGTGCTGAATGAATACTTAAGATGATCACGTGGACTTTTCTCAAGTGCAGGGGACTGCCGATGTTGATCTACACATAACAGTATATGTTGGTCAGGATGCATGTATCACCCTGGCTGCTTAAGAGAATTATTTTAATGTAAAACAACCTTTCCGGCCCAGGCCAAGCTTCCCAGGATAATCCATTTGTCTCCAGGAGCTGGGTGATCTTTTTGGCTTTTTGGCATAACATGGCTGGCAGAGCTCAAATTGTTTTTATCAGCTTAGTTACCTCTACCCAGTAGAAATACAACTGCTGAAATTGTAATTAGGTCTTTTATATTCCTCTCCTTCCTCCCTCCCTCCCTCCCTCCCTCCCTCCGTCCCTCCCTTCCTCCCTTCCTTCCTTCCTTTCTTCCCTGCCCCCCTCTCTTTCTTCTTTTTATTTCCTTGTTTATTTCTGTCTAGCACTAGATTTCATGGGAGACATAGACTAAGATATAAATTTTTAATCCAATATCATCAAAGTTTCACCAATGATATGTAAGACTCTAGATGTACAGAAATTATAAGCATTTAATTAGCAAAAAGTTATCAGTATGCTAAACTTAAAATATTACTAAGGAATTTAACCAGTGTAGATAGTAAATCTGCTTTGAAATATTGAACAAATAGTTTCATCTATTTTATTTTGATGTCAGTAATTTGTTGTTTTCAAGAATGGCTTTTCTGCATAGAAAAGACTATGCATTGTTAATTAACTATTTCATTTTACCTAACAGGTAGTGTTTTACTGTAACAAACACAATAATCAAATTTTTTTAAGTTATGATTCAAGTTGCCAAATATATTATTCTAATTATATAACAAGCAGATCTTTACAATCACTTTCGCAAGGGCTCAAAGTTTCCTAATGCATACAATCTTTAATTAAACTCAATATTTTAAATTGAATTTATAAATCCCTTTTAATTTTCTTCTTAAGCTTTTTATGTATCTGACCAAGAAAAAATATCAACACAAGAATATAAGTACTTTTTGTATATTAAATACATTAATCTATAAATATGGTAAATTTCACATTATCGTAATTACTTCAATACTGTTTAAAAACACAATAAATCACATTATATTTTTAATTCAAAAATAACCCAGCTCTAAATCAATTTCTGAATTATATATTTGACATTTGTTTCACAAATATGATCAGTCTGATCATCTATCTACCAAATTCTCTTACAGGCAATGTCTCTCAAAAGACCGAAGTTGTGTATCTGCCAAGAGATTCCTGGCTAGCGTACAAGATTTTCTTCTTACAATTGACACCGACTGATCCCTTCTTTGAGTTACCGTAACAGTGACTTCGCAAATAATAAAGAGGTTGGTTTATAGCATGTACCATTGATTTGATTTCATTTAATAATGCTCTATTTCTCCATTAATTAATTAATAATTAATCTCCATTAATTAATTAATCTCCATTCATTAATTCTTCCCTACCTCCATTCATTAATTGACTGTGTTGCTGGGTTTAAATTATTTTTCTCTTTTTTACATAGCAATATCTTCCATTTGCATCCAAAGGCATTCTTATGTTGGTCTATTGGGATCTTCACACTATATGTAGTTTTGCCATCATTCTGTGAACTTTATACAATATTTGAATTGATATTTAACTTTATTATTTCATTTATTTGCATATAACACCCTGTTTTTCTGTTACAATACTAACAACAGAACTTAACAAAAGCATCCAAGCACACAAATAATCAACCTTATGTAAAAATCAATAAATCATGTGAAATGTATGTGAATTCCCTACGTTGTAATATATGTCTAATACTGCTTTGGGATAATGGGAGTTAGAAAAAATGTGTAAGACATAATTCACAGATCTATAGTGTCTACTGAGTTATCAGGGAGAATAGCATACATTTTCAGTATAAATAAGACAGAAAGAGAGCACGGAATTCAATTAATTCCCTGTGTGTGTGTGTGTGTGTGTGCACGTGTGTGTGTGTGTAAAATCGTACTCATAAAACTAATTCAATAAGAGATTATTAAAGTTTTGGAGTATAACATGATGCATTAATCTACATCAATTTCAAATATGTGAATATTCCCACTTTATAAGAAAGAAAACTTCAGCTGTTCCATCATTAGCACATTTGAATGCTTGTCTGAGTAGCAAATATGTGATTGGAACCATTTATTTTGTTCCTGCAATTGCATTTAATATCTGCAATTTGGTTTTATCCCTAGATCTTTGATATATAAATAAAATATACTTAAAAAATTGTCTCTGAGTATAATTTTCACATTTATAAAAAGAATAAAATTTTCGCATTTTATCCATGTGAAATCAGAGGCATCTACTGAACAACGATTGAGAGAATGTGTAGCTTTATGATTAGTTCCAGTCTCAGGAGACAAGAAAGGATGCCAATGATGCAACTGGTGGACACTGAAGACTCACATCTGCACAATAAGCTGCAGCCTGTGTCCCCAGTGAAAAGAAACTACACATAAAAAGTCTCTATTCCCAACAATAAGTCCTTTAACCATCATGAAATCCTGGTTGTCTGCACTAGGTGCTCTGCTTAATTTGGACTCCTCTTATTTGTGAGTATGTTTAGGAAGTGGTAGTGTAAGTTTTTTTTTACACTTCTCTTAATCCCTGTTACCTCCTCATGCTAGAATATCTGTGGACTCCTCTTAGTTGTGAGTATGTTTAGGAAGTGGTAGTGCAAGTTTCTTTTACACTTCTGTTATTTCCTGTTACCTCTTCAAGCTAGAATAATCTGTTACTGACTGTATGATCTTAGCATTGCTTCTGAACAGCCAGAAAACAATTTCTTAAACTGTAGTTTGTTTATTTTTCAATGGTCTTCTCATTTCACGAAAAAGGGCAATATTTACATAACACCTATAACCAATATTTTTTTGTGTGTGGATGTTTATGGTATTTAATACTTAGTTTATATAGTAACTTAGAGCTACTTGTACAATTTAACTTTATTATTTCATTTATTTGCATATAACACTCTGCTTTCCTGTTACAATTCTAACAACAGAACTTAACAGCATCCAAGCATACAAATAATTCATCAACCTTATGTAAAAATCAATAAATCATGTGAAACATATGTGAATTCCCTACATTGTATTATGTGTCTAATACTGCTTTGGGATAATGGGAGTTATAACAATGTATAATAATTATTATATTATATAATTATTATAATATATACTGTTTTATATAATTATTGTATATAATTATATCGCATAATATATTATATAATAAATAGTATAATAATATAATGTATAATAATGTAATATAATTGAATTGCAATGCATGTTAACTACATGACAAGGAAAAGAACATCTTCCCCATTTTATACATGACAGTCTTTGGAAATCACATAGATGTAATGTTCTTTTATGATATCAATATAACATTGTAAGAACTAGTTTATGTTTTCTCTGATTATTTTTCACTACATCTTGTGTTTAACAAAACCAGGACATCCACACAGATACTTTATTCCCAGAGCCCAGGACTTTTTTTACTATAACAAATTGTTCATTCTTTCCACTACAATTTTAGAGTGCCTGCATAAAATAGACTTCAAAAAGACCATTTTTTGATGGTGTATTTTTACAATTTTGTTATTGCTGTTTGTCAAATTTTTATTTATTTTGCATATTTTACTTTTGGCCATTTTTGTCTTACAAACAGTTTTTATACATAAATCTTCAGTACATACTGTTTTAAAAGTATAAGTGCATGTATATTCTTAAGAAAGTATATCATGAATTTACATATGTAATATGTTTCATATGTTTAATCAGTTACATACTTATTTCTACAAAATATTCTATAATAAAATTAACAGTACATGAAATACAGTATTTACATGCACTATTTATAATAAATTCATCTATAAATATTATGTCATCATAACCACATTTTATGAGCCAACCTCCTTGAGGGCATATAGTGAGCTATTTCAGGTTTGGTTAACAAAATTATAGTACAGAGTTTTATTTTAAAAATCCTTAACTCATTTGATGGGCATTTGGCTAGATTCCCTTTTTAATATAATAAAAAATGCCTTTAACTTTGTGATTTCTCTCACCAACCTTATCTCCAATTGTTTTATTGATGAATGATGATTGCATATTTTCAAATGTTCCCTTGGAGTCATGAATTAAAAAGCAATTACTATGAAGTGATTTCACATTTTTAAGCAAAGATCCAGATTTGGTCATGACACTTATTAGATCATCTCCAAATTTGTATCTTTTCAAGTTCAAGACTTTTACATCTTACAATCAAATACTAAATTCCAACCCAATCTGTATAATTCCCGAAGTAATAGATCTAATTTTAAAAAAAGTTTTGCCAAATACATTCTCTCATGTCTCCTACATCTTGGAAAATAACAACCTCATTCAAAAAATATACACAAACACACACACACACATGCCCTTAGAATAATATTTTATTTCATGTTCAACTCTCCATCTTTTTGGTTCCTACCTCAAAATGGTTACTGAATAGAGTCACTCCTTATAGTTTTTCCTACTGCCACCTTAATGTAAGACATAGTCATCTCTCCAGTGGATAACTGAAATAGCCTCCTAGATAGCCTCCCTGTTTCTGCTCTTGCCTTGCTGAGATTTATTCTCAGAGGTGTAAAATATAAGTCAAATATGTGGATCCTATTACACAGTTAAACACTATGTAATAGAGTATATATGCAAAGCAACTTCCCATCTCACTGAGAAAGCATCCAAACCTCAAACAAGGCAAGGTGTCATAAACACAGCATCTCTTATTCCCCACTGGCCACTCTCCATCTTGTTCTCTGCAGTTCAGTCAATCTCCAGAAGTTTCTTGTTCAACATGATCCCACCTCAGGATTTTGAACTTGCTGTGCCATCTTCCTAAAAAAGTCTTTCTGTAGATAGCCACATATTTAGTCAAACCACTTACATCAGCTTTCTGTTCAGATTTCATCTTATATAGAGGTTTTTTGAACAACCTATATGTAGTAGACTAAACGGTGGCCCCTGTGATATTCAAATCCTAATCCCATACCTGTGAATGCTACCTTATATAACAGAAAATACTTTTCAGAGATGAGTCAGTCAAGGATTTTGAGGAAGGGAGATTACTTGGGATTATCTGGGTAAATACTAAATGTGAGAGGGAGGCAAAGGGAGATTTTTCTATAGAAGAAGAAAGCAGTGTGATGACTAATGAAAGTGCTACGCTGCTGTCTTTGAAGATAGAAGGGGCCAAAATAGCACTGTTCATGAAGCTTGAAAAGGCAGTAAAACAGAGTCTCTCCTAAAGCCTTCAGAAGAAGTGTGGCCCCACGCACACTTGAGTTTGACCCAGCAAACTGATTTCTGGCTTCTGACCTCCAAACTGTAAGATAATCAGTTATTGTTTTAAGCCTCTCATTTGGGGGTAACTTGTTATAGCAGCAATAGAAAACGTATACACATATAATAGAGTACCTACCACCTCTTTCTATTCACCTTTCCTTATTTATTTTTCTTCATAGTTCTTATCATTTTATACAGTATATCAAGACATGTTTATTTTCTTAACTGAATGTGAGCTCCTTGAAAGCATGACAATTGTCTTTTTCACGTTTTATCTCTAGCAAATAGAATATTTCTTGCTAGAGTAGAAATACATGTTTATCGAATGCATGATATATATGTGAATGAATTAAATTGTTGATATTTCATTACAAATGTTCAATTGTCAGGGTGTAGTGGCTCACGCCTGTAATCCTAGCACTTTGGGAGGCCGAGACAGGTGGATCACGAGGTCAAGAGTTTGAGACAAGCCTGGCCGGCATGGTGAAACCCCCGTCTCTACTAAGAATACAAAAATTAGCCATGCATGGTGGCAAACGCCTGTAGTCCCAGCTACTCAGTAGGCTGAGGCAGGAGAATCGCTTGAACCTGGAAGGCAGAGGTTGCAGTGAGCCGAGATCACACCATTGCACTCCAGCCTGGGTGACAGAGTGAGGCCCTGTCTAAAAAAATAATAGTAGTAAGGCTGGGCACAGTGGCTCATGCCTGTAATCCCAGGACTTTGGGGGGCCAAGGCAGGCAGATCACCTGAGGTTAGGAGTTCGAGATCAGCCCGGCCAACATGGTGAAACCTATCTCTACTAAAAATACCAGTAAATAAATAAATAAATAAATAAATAAATAAATAAGTAAATGTTATTGAATTTGTAGCACATCATGTCAAAAACATGTGAAACTAAGTGGCAGTCTATGATTTTGCAAACAAGAAACATACAATAGATATAGTTTTGGTGCCTCACACTATACCTCGACTCTTTATAATGGGTGTTCAGGTTTGTTTCAATGCTGGTAAAAAACAAGATGCAAAAGCAAAGTTACACAAAGCTGCAAAAGAAAAGGTTGTAGAGTTAACACTGCTATTTTTGATCAGCCTTAATACTAAATAGCAAATAAAAGGAATGACCTGCCTTTTTCTCTCAACTCAATTTTACTGGAGGGCACAATCATTGCTCTTTCACGTTGGCAATCAGGGCAGAAGGTGAGGCAAAAAGAGGTCTAAGGTTGAGATTTGGAAAGAAATGGGGCTGCATTTGATGAAACTCATTTTCATGAGCTTAAATGGGTATGAAATAATAGGGACAGGTTAGTCACGGAACAAGGGAAGATTTGTTGTCACTAGATGCTCCTGTTTGTAACCCACATTAGCAGAAGGCTTATATATGTCATAGGATGAGTGGACATTCTACTCATTCTACTTGAGATTTGCTACCAGTCACATCGGGATTTAAATGTTAATTCTACCTTTAATAGTTTTGAAATATAAGAGCTTTCTTACCCCCCTCCCACATTTTGTGATGTGAAAACTAAAAACCAAGGAATAAAACAATCTCTAGTACCAAAAATTTGAATCACTATACATAGATTGTCTAGCACATATATGAGCCACTTCTAAAGTAAATGTTCTTTCTTTATTTAAGTACAGGGTAACCCTAAATGTCCCATGCTGTTCTGGATACTGGATCATGAAGGAATCATTCCTTTTCCATCAGAGTAATATCTTGTTCTGCAACTAAGGAATTATATATACCTGAGTAAAAACGAGAGGCTGGAATCATACAGGTGCAAAGGAATTCCTCCTGGTAGGGTTAACTGAAAATCCTAATTTGCAGATCCCACTCTTTTTGCTTGTCACTCTGATTTATTTCATCACTTTGTTGGATAATTTGGGTATAATTATTTTAATCTGGTTAAATGCCCAACTTCATACTCCAATGTACTTCTTCCTTGGCAACCTCTCCTTTTGTGATATCTGCTACTCTACTGTCTTTGCTCCTAAGATGCTAGTCAATTTCCTATCAAAACATAAGTCCAGTACATTTTCTGGCTGTGTTCTACAGAGTTTCCCTTTTGCAGTATATGTAACCACAAAGGACATTCTCCTGTCCATGATGGCTTATGACCATTACGTGGCCATAGCTAATCCCTTGTTGTATACAGTCATTATGGCCCAAAAAGTTTGTATTCAGATGGTCCTTGCTTCTTACTTAGGTGGGCTCATTAATTCCCTGACACACACAATAGGTTTGCTCAAATTAGACTTCTGTGGTCCTAATATTGTGAATCATTATTTCTGTGATGTTCCTCCTCTTCTGAGGCTTTCTTGCTCTGATGCTCATATCAATGAAATGCTGCCCTTGGTCTTCTCTGGGCTCATTGCAATGTTCACTTTCATTGTCATTATGGTGTCTTATATCTGCATCATCATTGCCATCCAGAGAATCCATGCAGCTGAGGGAAGGTACAAAGCCTTCTCCACTTGTGTCTCCCACCTAACCACGGTGACCTTATTCTATGGGTCTGTTTCTTTTAGTTATATCCAGCCAAGTTCTCAGTATTCCTTGGAACAGGAGAAGGTCTTGGCTGTGTTTTATACACTGGTGATCCCCATGCTAAACCCACTTATTTATAGCCTGAGAAATAAGGATGTAAAAGATGCAGCCAAAAGGTTGATATGGTGGGGGAAAAACCCCACTTGACTCAGTCCTGCATATAGCTTTGCTAACCTAACATTTACCTGCAAATATATGGCCTATCTTTAAAATGATATCAAACAATTATAAATAAAACTATACTCCAGATGCTCTTGTACAGTTTGGATCAGGAATGATGAGTTTGACTTGAAGACTGAAAATCACTTTATTTCACAATTTATTGTGTTGATGACTTAATAAAATCATTATTTCAAAAGATGAGACTTTTTTTTTCTAACAGATTTTCATGCTGAACTCTGAAAAAGCTCACCATGGATTTAAAGAAGGTGTCACTGATTCAAATCAAAGTAATACTCTAACAATAGGTGTTTATTAATTCATCTCAGAGGAAATTTTCAGATAAAAATTCACATGTTCCCATGGTATGACTTTCTTAGATTATACTATTATGTCTTATTCTAAAAGGGCTGTCATTCAATTAAAAATGAATATCTTCCATTTTGTCTTTAATTTGCATTTCTTAATAGTATCTTAGAAAAAATGGCTATAGGAAATGAGTCCTTTTCCATAGTAATTTATTATTATTTATGGTTTACTATAAACTATAGTATTTATAATTTACTCTTATTATTATTTATGTTTACTCATTCAACACACTTCTACTGTGCCAGTCACTTTGTATGTGTGATATAAACCTAAAAACACTTAAACTGTGAACAAAAAGTTGTTAGAGGAAAGAAGAATGGATAAATCTGGTAAAAGGGAGGGATTATTTAAAGATTAAAAAGTATATGTTTGGCTCTAGCATGGAATTTTTAAGCAAAAGCAATATGTTGTGCCCAAGTGAGTCAAAACATATGCCACACTTTGAGACAAATTAAGAGTCCTTTATTAAGCTGGCTGCCAAAGAGACGGCTAATGCTCAAAATTCTCTCAGCCCCAAGGAAGGGGCTTGATTAACTTTTATACCTAGGTTTAGGAAGGGGAGGGGGACTTAAATGCAATAATTCTACAGAAGTAAAAACATGCAAGAATCAAAAGAAGCAAAATGGTTACAGAGAGATAAACAACTTAAAAGACAAATGGTTATAAGAAGAGCAATGGTACCAGGTGCAAGGTTCTAAATCTTTCATTATAATTAGATATAGGGTCTATGCCGGACGGACACGAACTCAAGGCTTTATGTTGTTATCTCTTTGAGAAAAATCCTGGGAACTTCATACGTAGATGGTGTTAGTACCTTATCAGTTAATTGGGCTCTTTTAAAATGCTGAGGATCTGTTTACCCATGCCAACTCCTTAGGAAAGGGGGTTGGGTAAGGAGCCCTTAGTGTCTTGTAAATTCAGGGGTCAATTGGAGTTTGTCCAGCCTTCCCAGCTAGAGAGAGTCTTATTCACATGAGAAGCAAGGCTAGGTGATTAAAGAGACAAGCAGGACAAAATTCAAAGTAAGGAGTTAGTTAGAGTAAAAACAAGGTTAGGCATTTCAATAGACAATAAGGTTGGCTGGCAGATTATATAGAACCAAATGTATGAAAGTCCTTTAATGATAAGATAACACGTTTTAAGGCTCAATGGCTAATAAATGAAGCTCTAAATGAAATGTGAATTATATGCTTTGGGAAAGTTTCCATGATTCCATTGTTATCAAAATATTGGTAGGTAAAATAACAGGTTGGGAAAAATTACTCTGAACCTATAGGGAAAAGAATACTACGAGACAGATAAGAAGTGCTATGGGTGAGTAACAGAGAGAATGAGACATATTCCAGAGAAAATTAATGAAAATCATCAAAAGGACTTCAGAAATCATTAGACTTGTGGTTTTTGTTTTGATTTTGAGAGAAAAGCATTTACAATGACACAGATTTTGAACTTGTGTCACTAGTATGATAAAATTTTTAGGAGATAAAGAAATATGATGTAAGAATCTGAGTGCCATTAAAATTCCTAAAGGAAGAGCTTTCTGGAAAAAAGGTATAGCCAAGAACAAATTCCAAGAGGTAGGAAGTATCCTGGATTGCTTATAAAACAACAAAAAGGATAGGACTGGAGTAAACAGAGGAAGGAGGAAAAAGTCAAAATAGTAGAACAGATCATGTGGGATATAAAACTATAAAAACCCTAGAAGAAAACCTAGGTAATAGCATTCAGGACATAGGCATGGGCAAAGACTTCATGTCTAAAACACCAAAAGCAATGGCAACAAAAGCCAAAATTGACAAATGGGGTCTAATTAAACTAAAGAGCTTCTGCACAGCAAAAGCAACTATCATCAAAGGGAACAGGCAACCTTCAGAATGGGAGAAAATTTTTGCAATCTAGCCATCTGACAAAAAGCTAATATCCAGAATTTACAAAGAACTTAAACAAATTTACAAGAAAAAAAACCCAACAACTGTGGGAAAAGAAAGAGAGATCAGACTGTTACTGTGTCTATGTAGAAAGTAGACATAAGGGACTCCATTTTGTTCTGTACTAAGAAAAATTATTTTGCCTTGAGATGCTGTTAATCTGTAACCCTACCCCCAACCCTGTGTCGCAGAGACATGTGCTGTGTCAACTCAAGGTTAAATGGATGAAGGGCTATGCAGGATGTGCTTTGTTAAACAAATGCTCGAAGGCAGCATGCTTGTTAAGAGTCATCACCACTCCCTAATCTCAAGTACCCAGAGACACAAAACACTGCAGAAGGCCGCAGGGACTTCTGCCTAAGAAAGCCAGGTATTGTCCAAGGTTTCTCCCCATGTGATAGTCTGAAATATGGCCTCATGGGAAGGGAAAGACCTGACTGTCCCCCAGTCCGATACCCATAAAGGGTCTGGGCTGAGGAGGATTAGTAAAAGAGAAAGGCCTCTTTGTAGTTGAGATAAGAGGAAGGCATCTGTCTCTTGCTCGTCCCTGGGCAATGGAATGTCTCAGTGTAAAACCCGATTGTATATTCCATCTACTGAGATAGGAGAAAACCGCCTTAGGGCTGGAGGTGGGACATGCTGGCAGCAATACTGCTCTTTAAGGCATTGAGATGTTTATGTATATGCACATCAAAAGCACAGCACTTTTTTCTTTACCTTGTTTATGATGCAGAGACATTTGTTCACAGGTTTTCCTGCTGACCTTCTCTCCACTATTACCCTATTGTCCTGCCACATCCCCCTCTCCAAGAAACGCCCAATAATGATCAATAAATACTAAGGGAACTCAGAGACTGGTGCCTGCGCGGGTCCTCTGTATGCTGAGCGCCAGTCCCCTGGGCCCACTTTTCTTTCTCTATACTTTGTCTCTGTGTCTCTTTCTTTTCTCAAGTCTCTCATTCCACCCGACGAGAAACGCCCACAGGTGTGGAGGGGCAGCCACCCCTTCAAACAACCCCATCAAAAAGTGGGCCAAGGATATGAGCAGACACTTCTAAAGAAGACATTTATGCAGCCAGCAAACATGAAACAAAGCTCCTTATCACTGGTCATGAAAGAAATGCAAATCCAAACCAAAATGAGATACCATCTCACACCAGTTAGAATGGTAATCATTAAAAAGTCAGGAAACAACAGATGCTGGAGAGGATGTGGAGAAGTAGGAATGCTTTTACACTGTTGGTGGGAGAGTAATTTAGTTGAACCATTGTGGAAGACAGTGTGGTGATTCCTCAAGGGTCTAGAACTAGAAATACCATTTGACCCAGCAATCCCATTACTGGGTTTATACTCAAAGAATTATAAATCATTCTACTATAAAGACACATGCACACCTATGTTTATTGTGGCACTGTTCACAATAGCAAAGACTTGGAACCAACCAAAATGTCCATCAATGATAGGCTGATTAAAGAAAATGTGGCACATATACACCGTGGAATGCTATGCAGCCATAAAAAAGGATGAGTTCATGTCCTTTACAGGGACATGGATGAAGCTGGAAACCATCATTCTTAGCAAACTAACACAAGAACAGAAAACCAAACACTGCATGTTCTCACTCATAAGTGGGAACTGAACAATTAGAACACATGTTTCATGTGCATCTGTGTGAAGAGACAACCAAACAGGCTTTGTGTGAGCAACATGGCTGTTTATTTCACCTGGGTGCAGGCGGGCTGAGTCCGAAAAGAGAGTCAGCGAAGGAAGATAAGGGTGGGGCCATTTTATACGATTTGGGTAGAGAAAGGAAAATTACAGTCGAAGGGGGTTGTTCTCTGGTGGGCAGGAGTGGGGGTCACAAGGTACTCAGTGGGGGAGCTTTTGAGCCAGGATGAGCCAGGAGAAGGAATTTCACAAGACAATGTCATCAGTTAAGGCAGGAATAGGCCATTTTCACTTCTTTTGTGGTGGAATGTCATCAGTTAAGGCAGGAACCGGCCATCTGGATGTGTACGTGCAGGTCACAGGGGATAGGATGGCTTAGCTTGGGCTCAGAGGCCTGACAACATGGACACAGAAAGGGAAACATCACACACCGGGACCTGTTGGGGTGTAGGGGGCTAGGGGACGGATAGCATTAGGAGAAATACCTAATGTAGATGAAGGGTTGATGGGTGCAGCAAACCACCATGGCACGTGTATATTTATGCAACAAACCTGCACTTTCTGCACATGTATTCCACTACTTAAAGTATAAAAAAAAAACAAAAAAAAAAAACTTTGAACTAAAAACAAATTTATCTTTTATATTGTTATAGGTTAAATATTTAAACAGAATAGAATCCTGGGAAAACTAATAAAATTCAATTATTTAAATTTAAAAAGAAAAAATATTTACCGCAGTTTGAAGATGTATGGGAAATGAAGCTGAGTTCACACCTCCAAAGAGTTAAAATTTAATTGCCTGCATGTTTAAAGGGCTAGATGGGGTGAGAGAGACAGAGACAAGAGACCAGCCTCCTAATCAAAACTTTGGGAAGTCCACAGCCCAGAAACAGTGATGAGAAAAAGAAAATGAGGTCTATCTATAAACCAAGGCAATAATAACTCAATTAATAATTGAATTAATACAATCAGCACTTCATCCTTTCTGCCTGCAGGAAAAAGCAAAACCCTCCCTTGTGGAAAATAATATCCTTTTCAGTTTCTATCATCCATTTATTCATATGCAAAGAGTCAGAAAGTACAATCAATAGTAAAAATTCACAAAATAAAGCAGGCCCATAGAAAAATCTACATATTGAAGTTAGAAAAATACTTCAAAAATGTGATTAATAGGTGAAAGAAAATTTTAAAAGAAAAATCATTTAACAAAATATTTTAAGAGAAATTTAAATTAGTAAAAATAGAAACTATTGGATTTCTAAAAACCCACAAACTGTGAAAATATAATAAGAATTTATAAGGAAAATTTAAGAGCATATTAGACAAAGCAGAAGACAGGATTGGTAAACTCAAATACACATCAATATAAATTGTCTAAACTAAAGCACAGACAGAGAAAAAAATTAGGAATACAGATCAGATCGTAGGATACTTGCGAAACCCAATCAAATGGTGTAAAACATAATACAGTCAAAATTCCAAAAAAAAAAAAAGAGAAGAGCCTAGATAGAATAAATATCTTAAGGTTGTGACTAAAACTTTTCTAAAACTGATGAGTCCTCAACAAACACAACCAAGGTTACAAGATCCCAAGCCAAAAAAAAAAAAATGCAGAGAAACTCACACACAGGCACACCATGCTCAAAGGAACAACACTAAGAACTATTGCAAACTATTAAAAGAAGCTATAAAAGCAGGGGAAATGGAATGACATATTAAAAATATGAAAGAAAAATGTAAATATTTAAATTTCTCTTCTTAGGAAAAAATTGTCAAAAATATACAGGAAAATAGAGATGTTATTGACAAAGGTCTTGAAAAATGTGAGAATCTGTCAAACCACAAAATGGGAAATACTGAAATAATTTTTAAGTGAAATAAAGTTATTCCAAATGGAAACAGAAGATAATAAAGAACAACACCCCATTTTTTCCTTTTATAAAACCCATTTTATTCAGGCATTTGATCCTATTGATAATGCTTTTGTCAAGGTCACCAACAGCCACCACTTTGGTAAGTCCTCAGAAATCTTACTGTCAACAGCCTTTCATACAGCTGATTTTTCCATCTTTGTAGCTCTTTACTTAAAAAAAATTAAAGGTGACAGAGATACAGCAAGTCCACGTGCTCATGAGGATGACTCACTGTATTTTGTTGTAAGCCATGTTATCTGAGTTTTTGTGCAAAATATTATTCTGTTTTGTTTTATCCTGTATGAACAAGGTAGAATAAAAGAAAACTGTAAATCAGGAAAAAAACAAACAAACAAAAAGAATAACAGCCACAAGGGCAAACATGTGAGGACTAG
The DNA here is from genome assembly GCF_000001405.40 of Homo sapiens. NCBI lineage: Eukaryota > Metazoa > Chordata > Mammalia > Primates > Hominidae > Homo > Homo sapiens. The sequence goes on from NC_000011.10 coordinate 56,061,589, forward strand.
TAAAAAATATTTACCAATTAAATCAACAACAAGAATTATTTTTTTCTGGTAAAATAATAAATAGGAAGAAAGAATAGTCTCAAAAGTGTATCTTCCTAATAAAATAGCTTCAAAATACTTATAAGAAAGCTGATGGAAGAGAGAGAATAAGTTTTACAAATATAGCTGGAGGTTTATAAAAGCTTCCTGAATAATTGATAGACTAAGCCAAGAAAAATAAAATCACAACATGAGCAATTAAATTGACCTGATAGAAATGCATAGAATACCAAGCTCAACTACAGAATGCCAATTCTCTCCAATGCACATGATACATTTAAAAATTGACTGTGCTGTGTTATAAAATACATTTAAAACATTGAAATTATACAGAATATATATTCTAGTCACCGTGAAATTCAATTTTAAATAGATGACAGAAAGCCAGCTAATAAATCTCTACATGTTTGGAAATGATCGATCAACACACTCTTCAATAAACAATGCTTTTTAAAACATAAATGTAAAGTTGATATTTTTAAAACAGACTAAATTGAAAAAAATAGAAAAAAGTAGGAATTCAATAGAAAAAAATAAAATAGAAATTTCATAAGAGAGTATCAGCAATGTATGCTTTTAAAAGTGGAAGAAAAATGATGCAATTGTAGCAAAATCGATCAAGAAAAATTAGAGAAAATGTAAGCTGCTAATGCCATGTAAAAAGCAGAATATCATTAGAGATTCTATAATTATTTAAAATGCAATACGATGAAATCTTAGATAAAATAAAAAGTATTTTGGAGAAATAATACGTACCAAAACAGGTAGAAAGAATTAGAAAATGTAAATACTTCTAAATATATTAAAGAAATTGAATTTTTAATAATAAAATATATCCAAAATAAAAGTTCAAGTTCAGTTGTTTCTCTGACAGTGTTTTCCAGATATTTAGAGGATAAGGAATATAACTCTAAGATTATTTAAAGGAGTGAGAAAAACAGAAAGAAAGAAAGTGAAATTAGGAGAGACGATGAAAGGAAGAATTAATTTTTTAAGTACACTGAAACACTGATATTAAAATCTAACAAATACATTACAAAGAGAGATAATTATAAGATAACATTCGGTATAGAAGCCAAAAATCCTAGAGAATGTTTTGCAACAGAAAGCATTCAAAATAACCAAAAAACATATGAAAAATTTCAACATCAAATATTTCTGACAGCTACGTAAAAATGGAAAAGCATTTTGAACTGTTTGACAACAAGCAGATCATATGCCTAACTTATGTCCCAGTGCCAGTGCTTCCACTTACAAATTATTGTGCATGTTCACCACAATGCATACACAAAAATACTCTTTAGAAGTTTTATTACTGATATTTATAAACTAGAAAAAAATTCATTAAGAAAATTAATTAACAAATGTTAATACATTTACAAAATAAAAGACTGTATAGCTTTAGAAAAACTTCTAATATAAACATTCATATAGATAATTTCACTACTGTTATGTTCAGAAAAAGAAAGCAGACACAATAAGCCTATATGTAAGATTTCATTTGTACATGTTTTAACAACAAGTAAAACTAAATATTTTGACTATGAGGAAGCATTTTGAAGTGCTGAAAATGTCTGTATCATAATTTGGGTGGTAGTTTTACTGATGTACATAAATATAAAGCTTTAAATAAGCTGTATACTTAAAATTAAGGTACTTTACAACGTGTGTGTGTATATATATGTCTGTGTGTGTATTTTTTTAACATAGTTCTTAGACAAAAAGATGAAAACAGAATTGTAACCAAAACATGATAGAAAGTAAAGGGGAGAGTAATTATGAAATTTGTGGATAATTATAAATAGTGATTAAATTTTGGCTGCACAACACCAACATTTTATTGATAAATTTAAATATAAATGTATGGCAATACTCATACAAAACATAGACTGAATCAATGGAGTTATATCTAAATCTCTAGCATTGTGTGATAAACAGAAAAAGGAACAGTGTATTATATTTAGTATTGCAAAAATTCATAGTTTAAAACATAAGGTAAATCATCAAAATATAGAAAATTTGAAAGGTAGAATAATAAAATGTAAACTTATTAGCAACAATCGTTTTTAAATAGGACACAAAGGGTTCTGAACATCACAATGAAAATTAAACTCTATTAATATGGAAGAATTTATTTATAGAGTAAAAGGCAAGTAGCCAAGGCAGTGGAAATATTTTTATACATATATTTAAAACAATAACTAAAACAAATCAGATCAAAAAGCCAAGATAGTTTAATAAAGCTGCACATATAAAATGCTGAGTATCTAAAATATATTTTTTATAATGTATAGTTTTCAACAAAAATGCACAAGGCCTGCAAAGAAACAGAAAAATGTTACTTGGGGAAAAAAATCAGTCTGTAGAAACTCTCTGAATGACCCAGATGCTGGATTCAGCAGACAAAAAGACTTAACCATCACTACAAAAATATGGTCAAATAATTGAATGCATATACATAATTAAAAGAAAGTATGACAGTAATTATTAATCAGATTTTTAAATAGAAAATCTCAATAAAAAGAAAGTGAACAACAAAATTACATAATGGAAATTCTGTAGATAAAATGTACAATTACTAAAACTAAATATCCACTAGAAGGATTCAAAAATGGGTATGAGATGATGGATGAAACTATTAGTACAGTTGATGACAGATCAACGGAAATTATTCTATTTGAAGTACAAAAAATACAAAGAATGAAGAAAAGTGAACAAAGCCTCAGAAATCTGTGGACATAATAAATGATATTAATGGATATATTGTAGAAGTCAGAGGAGAAGAGAAAGAAGTAAAAAAATCAAACAGAACAAAGCAAAAAGTCCTGAAATGATAATAAACAAGACTTTCTACATTTGGTAGAGCGATTTTATCCAATATTTTACTGGAGATTCCTATTAAATAACACACAATACACAAAAACAAAGTCTAGTTCTGACAGGCCTAAATGTCAGCAAAGAAAAATTTAAAAGAAGAAAAAAATTATTAATCAAGAAATGAACAATAAAATCTACAAGAAACTAAAAGCATTCAAGTCGAAAAAGAGAAGTATAATGCTCATTATACTCAAGGGACTTTATTCTGTATCTAAAAATTCCTAAGCAAGTCATACAACAATATATAAAAATCAGTCATGTTTCTACATATTATTAGCAAGCAATCTGAAACTGAAATTAGAAAAATATTTTCATTAAAATTAGTATAAAAATGCAAAAAAATATTTAGAAATAAATTTAACAAAATAAGTCAAGACTCAATTATAAAAACCAAAACTACAAAGCATTGCTACAAGAAATTGGAGAAGGGCTAAACAAATGGATAGGTATACATGTTGACTTATTGGAAGACTTAACTAGTAGATATTTATCCAAGAGAACAGAGAGTTATGTTTAGACAAAAGTTTTAATCTAATATTTATAGCCACTTTATAAATAATAGCTGAATATTGCAAACAGTCCATATGTCAGGCAACAGGTGACTGAATAAACATAATGTACAAAATTCATACATTGGAATAGTACTCAACAATTTAAAAAAACTAGCAATACATGCAACAATGTGAATGATTCTCAAAACCTGTTGAGATTGAAAAAAATCAAGAAAAAACAAACATACATTGAACTACTTCAATCTTATGAAACTCTACAAAAGCAAATCTCATACATAGGAATATAGTGATGATTTGAAGCTTCTTGGGTTTGACAGTAGGATAGAAGGGTTTCTTGGCAGTAAATCAAGAGGTCTGGAGGATGATGGAAATGTTCTATATTTTGATTGTGCTAGTAATTGCCCTGGAGTCCACATTTGTCAAAACTCATTCAATTATATGCATTTTAAAATAATTAAAATTTATTGTATTATATTTGTCAACAGCTTTCACTTTAAAAAACATTTCTCTGAAATATGACATTTTAATATGGAGAGACCTAATGCATTCATTAATATAACTTCTGAATAATATTTTTCACAAAAAGACTTCTTACATGACAAAAAACCTAACATTGACAAATATAAGCTAAATAAGTTTGAAATAATGCTATTGAGTGTTTCCATGTGACAAATTCAATTGCATTCTCAGAAATACTCTAAATATCCTAACTAAGCCATTAGGTTCTTCTGAATGTACTTATTTGCTGTGGTTTCTTTTTGTATTTTGTTTTAAATTTTGGGTTGCTTGTTTTGTTTATTGTTTAAGTTCTTGTCAGCTGAATGCCTGCAAATATAGATGTTTATAAAGTATTTTCAGATTCTTTTTTCCTTAATCTACAATTTTCTAGGAGAAAATAATATTTATTTATTTATTCTTCATATACAGATTGGAAATAAATTATATTTTAAAAAAAGAATGCATCATAGGTACTTAGAATGTTTTAAGGTTTCTGAGATAATGGATCATCTCCTGTACTAACTCATCTTAGAATATCACCCAGTCCTCACCCCTACTATCTGCTCCATTAACCTTTAATTTAGGAAACTAATACATTTTAATTCAAGAAGATGAAATTTAATTGTTTTTAGTATAAAGAATAAAGGCCCATTCTTATGTAGCCACATATGTAAGAGAAACATGTGAAACATTGTCACCAAAATCCCTCATGATACAGTTTAAGCTGGAAAAAGCCACAATATTGACTCCATCAGGGGACACCTGCAGGACTGGAGGAATAAATCAGGAGAGGGGGACTGGGTTGATTTTAAGAAAGCCTTTTAAGAAATAGTAGTTTTAATTTTCTTTGATGATATTCTTGGAAAGGAAATCAAGGAATGGAATTGATTTGATATTTTTATGTTATTGCTTTTTTTTGCTGTTTTTTTTCTATTACTTGGACAACTAGGCCCAAGTAACGTGTTCTTAAAAGCATGAGAGAGTACCAAGAAAGCACCACTAGCAATTCTATTGAATTTTTTCAGAGATCATGCATTTGGTTTTCCCCCCACACTTGCCCCACATTTCCTTTTATTCATTGTAAACTTCAGGAAAGTAAATGCCTTAGGGGAGCCATTAAGTTCTTCAGTTTCCTAAATCCCTCAAGAAACAAAGAAGAATTTTCAATAATATATGTACTATATCCTTTTAATGAGAGGATTAACTCCAGGGACTTTATTCCCATTTTGTTAGGGAACCACAAACACAGAAAAGCCAGGGTGACACCACTTTAAAATCAGCTCCATCTTAAAACTAGCAATGCACATTCCTTCCCTGTCACTGCCCATGGTCATAAGATGATTACAGTTAAGGAAGCAGTTGAATAAAGCGTGTAAGGACAAACTCCTCTGATAAAAAAAAAGTCTAGATGCTTCAGTATTGTGTAACAACTTTGCTTTTAAGGTAATTATAGTTATGCTTTGATTTGCTTAGACACTAAAATGCCAAGGATAGTTTTCTTTAAATCAACAGAATGATAAATTTTGCTACGATGTCAGCTCACCTGCAGGTAGACATAGCTTAGCCTCATTTTTACACAGGTAAGATTTCAACATAAATAAAGCTTAAAGATGAGACGTTCCTCTGCTTGCTTTCTGAGGACACCATGATCTGTATTTGAGTAGCTTTCAATGAACTACCTCTTATCACACTCTGTGACTTGCCTTGAATTCCTTTGTGCATCAGATCCAGGAACCCTCTCTTGAGGTCTACATCTTGACTCCTTTCTCCTGCAACAATTTGAACTAAGACAAATACATAACTAAACTTTTTGTCTAAAATTATCTTCTAATACAATTGTGTTTTTCATTTTCATTTTATTTATTTATTTTTGAGAAGGGGTGTCACTCTGTCGCCCAGGCTGGAGTATAGTGGTGCAATCTCAGCTTGCTACAGCCTCGACCTCTTGGGCTCAGGCAAACCTCCCACTTCAGCCTCCTGAGTAGCTGGGACCACAGGTTTTTTGTGTGTTTTGGAGAGAAGGGGTTTTGCTATGTTGCCCAGGCTGGTTTTGAACTCTTTAGCTCAAGAAATCCAACTACCTCCACCTACCAAAGTGCTAGGATTACAGTATGCCTGGCCTGACAAGTTTATGTTTTGATTTTTTTTTTAATTTTACTTTAAGTTCTGAGATACAAGTGCAGAACATGTATGTAGGTTTGTTACATAAGTATACGGTGTGTCATGGTAGTTTGCTGCACCTACCAACCCGTCATCTAGGTTTTAAGGCCCACATGTATTAGCTATTTGTCCTAAGGCTTTCCCTTCCCCACACCTTGACAGGCCCTGGTGTGTGATGTTCCCCTCCATGTGCCATGTGTTCTCATTGTTCAACTCCTACTTATGAGTGAGAACGTGCGGTGTTTGGTTTCCTGTTCCTGTGTTAGTTTGCTGAAGATGATGGTTTCTAGCTTCATCCATGTCCCTACAAAGGACATGATCTCATTCCTTTGTATGGCTGCATAGTATTCTATGGTGTAAATGTACCACATTTTCTTTATCCAGTCTGTCATTGATGGGCGTTAGAGTTGATTCCATGTCTTTGTTATTTTAAATAGTGCTGTAATAAACATATGTGTGTTTTGATCATCTTCCTCTTACTTTCATGCCAAGGAAGTTGTACCTATGATTCTCATATTGTAAAGAATAAGTTTGAATATCAGTGCTGCTACCTGTAACTATTACAATATCATTTACTTAATTTATGCATCACTATAAATTTAAGACAAATTTAACTAATTATTGTCCGTGCTTTGTCTTTGTGTTTGTCTTAGGCAGACTACAGAGAGATAAACCATGGGAAGAGGTGGTTATGGAGGTTTCTAAATGAGCTGAGGTATTGAACATTTTTTCTTCTATTGGTAAGTTAAACTCACTTATTTGAATAACATATGTGTTCTACAAATTAGTTAAAACATTTTAAAATGAAGAAAAGAGAACGGTTCATATATCTATACTTTTAAAAGTATTAAAAAGTATAAGTATTTTATACTTGAAAAAGTATATTTTTATCTGATAAACACTTCAAATTACAGGGACAGGAGGAACTTGTAACCTGGCTATCTGTTCTCACCCTCATACTACACTTCAATCTATTTTTCTACATTAGCTTCAAAATAGTTGTGTAACTTTCATTGGAATAATGAAAAATATCAGGGTTTTAATTCAGTGGAACAGTCTTTCATAAAGAGGAATTGTAATCTAAGTCATAACTACATATTCCCATGGGGATTATTCACCTATCCCTGTAGATGCTCCAGATCTCAAAGTTCTCTGCTTGTTTGTCATTATTTCAGTAGTCTTCTTCTTTTCCTGAGTTTTACATACTCTGCAAGAATTGTATCTCTCAAGTAAAAAGATAACGAAGTGACCAAACATATTATTTTTATTCTGGAGAAGTAAAGCTGCCAGTATCCCAATTTGTTTGAAGTATTTATTTATATCCTCACCTGGTTCAAAGAGGCCCAGAGCCAATGTACTCCATCCCACCCTTTTGGAAGATTCACCTCTGTCCATGGTGTCCTCACACACTCCCTTTACAGAAGGAGGATGATGAAGGCTGCTAGGTTGACCCTGATCACCATCGTAGATAGACCCAGTGCTGAATCCAGCCCTGTCAAGGAGACCGGTGCCTTGTGCTCTTCACTCCTTCCCAGTTCTACTGTTTATGCTTCTTAAACAAACAGGACTTTGTTATGAGCAGAAAGGTAAATCGGTGTTCTGAGTTACTGGAACCCAGGTCAGGAAATTAAGACACCCTTTTTCGAAGCATGCCAAAGACTGAATGAGAGAAAGTACAGTACAGTATCATGGCTATGTAAGGAAGCCAGTCATCTATAAATTTCGCTTATCTAGTAGGACACTGTTGACTTAATGTTTAAAATATGGTTTAGAGTAACTAGGAATTGGCTTCTTTCTCATTTGATTCCAAAAAATGGTACATGGTACTCCAATTAAGAGTCTGGACAAAGCCTGCTAAAAGCACAATAATCTAGGCCTAGAAGATGGTACCAATTTATATACATTTGTATTTTTGTAAATAAAAGTTAATTTTTCAGGCAAAATGTGGTAATAATTGACAGATATGCATTGGTTATTTGAAAAAGACATTGCATATTCTAAGAATTGCGTTGCAATATGAAAAGAAAGCATTGCAAATGTATCTGTACGTTGTATAGGTTTACTTTATTTTATGGATTTGCTTTGCTTTTTCTCAGGAAAAAGTATGAGAACTTATTTTTCTTGAGTCTCAGTAAAGTATTTCTATTGGATATCAAAGACCAATTATAACTTGCTGTTGCCATATTTCACATTTCAGTTTAGAGTGCCTTCTCCTCTCATTCCCAGTAAGCACTCTTCTGAGAAGCCAGGGCCTCTGGTTACTTTCAAAGGATGACTCCCGAACCTTCGGTCCTTAGCTTTTGTCATATCTAACTTTAAAACTGTGGAGTAGGAACTAAGCATGAAGACGTTAGTCGAATATTTCAGGTTTAAATGCCATAGTACAGTTACTCTTATATCTCGATACATTTGACATTAGCAACTATTAAATTTGAAATTAGAAGTGTAAAAATGGGCTTCTATGGGACATACATTCTATTTCCAAATTTAGTTCTTATGCTTTTGTGAACTGGGCTTTTCTTCTGTCTTTTGTTTTCAATTTTTATTTCATGTTCAGTGGTACATATGCAGGTTAATTATATAGATATATTGTGTGTCGTGGGGGTTTGGTGAACAGATAATTTTATCACCCAGGTAATAAGAATAGTACTCAGTAGGTACTTTCTTGATCCTCACCTTCCTCCCACCTTCCACCCTCAAGTAGGCACCAGTATCTGTTGTTCCCTTCTTTGGGTCCATATGTACTCAATGTTTAGCTTCCCTTTATAAGTGAGAACATGCAGTATTTGCTTTTCTGTTCCTGTGTTAGTTTGCTTAGGATAATGGCTTCCAGCTCCATCCATGTTGCTGCAAAGGACATGATCTCATTACTTTTTATGGCTGCATAGTATTCAATGGTGTAAATGTACCACATCTTTATCCAGTCCACCATTGATAGGCATTTAGGTTGATTCCATGTTTTTGCTACGTGAATACTACCTCAATGAACAGACACATGCATGTGTCCTTATGATAGAATGATCTATATTCCTTTGGATATATACCCAATAATGGGATTGCTGGGTCAAATGTTAATTCTGTTTTAGGTTTTTTTCTTTTCTTTATATAGATGTAAAATACAGTTTACTTTAGATTTTTGTTCCCATTAAGACCAGAATTTTAAATGCAGCCTTAAGCTAAGACCCTAATATTTTTGGTTTTTTTTTTTTTTTTCGATTTTTTTTCACTCATGGAATTTTTTATGGAATAAGTAAATAAACTGTGTTTGAATAAAGTGTTGAAATTTTCTGATTTTATAGGTAAGACAATCAGAGAAGTCACTAACTCATATCACATGGCTAGGTAGGAATTCCAAATGGTCTTGATATTGCGGTATCATTACTCTGAATTAATTCCAATCTCCATATCATTAACAGGCATCAAGAAACACAAATCCATGGCTGATGTTAATTTTACATTGGTTACTGAGTTTATCCTTTTGGAACTGACAGATCGTGCTGAACTGAAGATGGTCCTCTTCGTGTTGTTCCTGCTGATCTACACCATTTCCCTGGTGGGAAATATAGGAATGCTCTTTCTAATCTATGTAACTCCCAAACTCCACACACCCATGTATTATTTCCTCAGCTGTCTGTCATTTGTTGATGCCTGCTATTCATCAGTTTTTGCACCCAGAATGCTGCTGAACTTCTTTGTTGAGCGGGAGACAATCTTATTCTCTGCATGTATTGTGCAGTATTTTTTATTCGTGTCTCTCCTTACCACTGAGGGCTTCTTGCTGGCCACAATGGCTTACGACCGTTACATGGCCATTGTGAACCCTTTACTTTATACAGTAGCTATGACTAAAATAGTTTGTATTGTGCTCGCATTTGGGTCATGTATGGGAGGTTTAATCAACTCATTGACACATACAATTGGCTTGGTGAAACTGTCTTTCTGTGGGCCAAATGTCATCAGTCACTTCTTCTGTGATCTTCCCCCACTGTTGAAGCTGTCATGTTCTGAGACATCTATGAATGAATTGTTGCTTTTGATCTTCTCTGGCATTATTGCCACGCTCACTTTTTTGACTGTGGTGATCTCCTACATCTTCATTGTTGCTGCTATCCTGAGGATCCGCTAAGCAGCAGGTAGACGTAAAGCCTTCTCCACCTGCACCTCTCACCTGATTACCGTGACCTTATTCTATGGATCGATAAGCTTTAGTTACATTCAGCCAAACTCCCAGTATTCCCTAGAACAAGAAAAGGTGGTGTCTGTATTTTATACCCTGGTGGTTCCTATGTTAAACCCATTGATTTACAGCCTAAGGAACAAGGAAGTGAAGGAAGCTGTGAAAAGGGCTATAGAAATGAAACATTTTCCTTGTTAATTTCATATTTCCATATCCAAAAATAGACTACAAACAGTGGTTTGTCTAATTATATCTATACAGATTTAATAAAATTTCAGTCCTACAGGAGCCTTAGAGTTTATTCAGTTGGAGCCATGTGTTTTACCGTGGAAAAAAAAGACCTAGAAAAATGTGCCATAGAAGACATGGCTGGTTACCATGTTAACTAACCTAAAAACCAGGCTAAGATCTAAGGTAGTTATCTCTAGGCAATTGATAACATTTTCATTCCTTCATATGAGTAAAAATAAATATTTCTGGGATATATAGACACTCAAACACATACACAAATAGAGACAATGATAAAATTAATAAATAATAAAATATATGCTGCCTTGGTCTCTCTATTGAGCATGGAAATAAGTAAAATACATTCAAGGCAAAAAGTATTGGTACTTTCCTTATCCAGAAAAAAGACAGATACATATACCAAAAATTAACCTGGATTATTTATTGCTTGATATTCTTCAAAATAAATATATACACTTAAAAATACTCAGAAAAAGAACATAGTACTAGATTACCTTTCCACTTGGAATGGTTAGTCTAAACCATTTCCCCATTCCTGGCCTCAGTTTCCACTACTACATATGAAATCATTTTGGACAGATTGTCATAGTTTTATTATCACTCCACATGGAAGACTCACTAATACTCAGAGAAAGCTTACCCTGAAGACTTTCACTTCATATTTAGAAAGGATGACTCCAAACTCATTAGGATGTCATTAATAATCAAATTCGCTTTCCTCTTTCCTTTAAAGATCTCCCAGAATCCTTTTTACACCATTAAACAAAAAAATTCCCAGAAGAGTCATTCTAGGTAGGGAAAATCTGTGAAGCCAATAGTTTTCCCTTCAATTCAAATTATATGTACAAGTGCATCATCATAAGATCAAGCCTACAAATACTAATTGTCCCATATTGATTTATTCTCAAATTGTTGTAAACTATCCTATCTGGAAAAATATTAAAAATATATAAATAACAGTATTCTAGAAAATATATTCACTTTCAAATAAAATGAAATATTTTAAAATTCTGTTTTAAATATTGAATTAACTGGTGACAAATGAGCTAAGCAGCACAATGCAACAGCTGAAGACTCAATAAAATATTAATTCATATATTTACATGGTAGGCTAGATTAAATTTTTTTATCCTCATTGACAGCCACAGTTACGTAAGTGAATGGCACCAATGAGAAGGGGTGGAATTTCATGGAAAAATTATTATTGTTCTGTTTAGCGCCCACCTTCAACTCATCCTAATAAACAGTTACAGTATTATACTCTAAACAAAAACCACATGCTTCAATGAGAAAAATGTCACTCCCACAATTCTGATAGAAATTGAGGTGGTTGGTGACAGATTTGTATAATGTAGATTGGAAAATGAGTAACATAATCATATATAAGTTTATTCTGAAACTAAGTGAAACTGAGTCAGGCATATCCTAAGTGTTCCTACATGATTGGTACAATTAACTAATAGAAAATAAGTGAGAACACCAAAAGTGAAATAATCTGTTGTCACTCCCATTAGTTGACATGCAAAATATCAGGAAAATAAAATTTTGAGAGTGTACTCTTACTGTTCCATATCAGATAAAGTTGGTTACTGTTCAATATCAATACTAGAAGAAATCAGGACTCAGCAAATGTTGATCTGACATGACTTTGTGGCCTCAGAAAACATCTATCAAATATGTGTTTTTATTCCATGTATGTAGCCTTGGAATTTGTGATGTGAAAATTGTCCTGACTTAGGGAAATACGTTGCTGGCACCGTTTGGGCTGGCTATGATGAAATTTGTATTATGATCATGATTGTTGCTATATGAGACCCAGGAGACAATGCAATGAATTTATGTTCTAAGATCTGAGATTTTGTTGACTACGGCGATCCCAGCTATGATGGCAACTTTCACTTGTCATTGGTCAAATGTGGCCTGTATCTAAATTCCAACTGTTAGAATCATAGACATCTAGAGCTTACGTCAGTTTTAGATATTTCTTATGAATTCTCAGAATTCATAGATTCTCATTTTTATTCTTAGACTTCTCAGATATTCCGTTTTTGATAGTATACCCTTCTGAGTCTAATATGTCCTAAAGTGCGAACTTGTACAATTTTTTTTTTTTTTTTTTTTTTTTTTTTTTTTTGATAAGGAGTTTTACTCTGTCACCCAGGCTGGAGTGCAGTGACCCGATCTCGGCTCACTGCAACCTCTGCCTCCCGGGTTCAAGTGATTGTGATGTCTCAGTCTCCCAAGTAGCTGGGATTACAGGCTCCTGCCACCACATGCCTAGCTAATTGTTATACTTTAGTAGAAATGGGGCTTCGCCGTGTTAGTCAGGCTGGTCTTGTACTCCTGACCTCAGTTGATCTGCCTACCTTGGCCCCCAAGGTGCTGGGATTACAGGCATGAGCCACCGCGCCTGACCCAGCTTCTTAAATTATTCTGGGCCACCAGTAATGTGAATCATGTAAATTAAAATATATAATTAAACAAAATCATATAGCGATTAGAGATAATAGTTGTGAAATGCTTGAAAAATCATAGGCATTTAATAAATAGAAGCCATTCCAATTAGGATTCTTCTTGATTTTTTTTCAAGACCAAAAAAATACTCTTTTAAATATTTATTATAATACTCCATGTTTATTAGTTCATTTTCATTATTGCTTTATTTTAAACTTGTTCCAAGTTTTCACCGCTATGTTCTTATGCATTTGTGTTTGATTCTTTAGTTGCGTTTGAACTATATTAATGACAGTTTTTAAATTAATGATAGTTGCGTTTGAACTATATTAATTGTAGTTTTTTCTTATTCACCCCCTCTTATATTTGTCATTCTATCCTCCAATTATCAGCCTACTCAATATTTGTATTTTATTTTATTTTAGTTCCGTGGTACATGTGCAAGATGTGCAGGTTTGTTACATAGGTAAACATGTGCCACGGTGTATTGCTGCACAGATTAACCCATCACCTGGATATTAAGCCCAACATGCATTAGCTATTTTTCCTGATGCTCTCCCTCCCCATCCTCCTGCCACAGGCCCCGTTGTGTGTTGTTCCCCTCCCTGTATCCACATGGTCTCATTGTTCAGCTCCCACTTATAGATGAGAAATGTGTTTGATTTCCTGTTCCTGAGTTAGTTTGCTAAGATAATGGCTTCCAGGTTCATCCATGTCCCTGCAAAGGACATGATTTTTTTCCTTTCTATGGCTGCATAGTATTCCATGGTGTGTATGTACTAAATTTTTTTAATCCAGTATATCACTGATGGACATTTGGGTTGATTCCATGTCTTTGCTATTGTGAATAGTGCTCCAATAAACATATGTGTATATGTATCTTTATAACAGAATAATTTATATTTCTTTGGGTATATACCCAGTAATGGGATTGCTGGGTCAAATGATATTTCTGGTTCTAAATCTTTGAGGAATCATCACACTGACTTCCACAATGGTTGAACTAATTTACATTCCCACCAATAGTGTAAAAGTGTTCCTATTTCTCTGCTACCTTACTAGCATCTGTTGTTTCTTGACTTTTTAATAATTGCCTTTCTGACTGGTGTGAGATGGTATCTCATTGTGGTTTTGATTTGCATTTCTCTGATGATCAGTGATTTTGAGCTTTTTTTTCAGATGTTTGTTGGCCACATGTATGTCTTCTCTTGAGAAGTATCTGATCATGCTCTTTGCCCACTTTTTAATAGGGTTGTTTGTTTTTTTTTTCTGTGAATTTGCTTGTTTCTTTTAGATTCTGGATATCAGACCTTTGTCAGATGAACAGATTGTAAAAATTTTCTCCCATTCTGTAGGTTGTCTATTTACTCTGATGATAGTTTCTTTGGCTGTGCAGAAACACTTTAGTTTAATTGAATCCCATTTGTAAATTTTTGCTTTTGTTGCAATTGCTTTTGGCGATTTCTTTATAAAATGTTTGTCCATGCGTATGTCCTGAAAGGTATTGCCTAGATTTTCTTCTAGGGTTTTCACAGTTTTGGATTTTCCACTTAAATCTTTACTCCATCTTGAGTAAATTTTTGTATAAAGTGTAAGGAAAGAGTCCAGTTTCAATTTTTACATATGGCTAACCAGTTCTTTCAGCACCATTTATTAAGTAGGGAATCCTTTCCCCATTGCTTCTTTTTGTCAGATTTGTTGAAGATCAGATGGTTGTAGATGTGCAGCTTTATTTCTGAGTTCTGTATTCTGTTCCATTGGTCTATGTGCCAATTTTTGTACCAACACCATGCTGTTTTGGTTACAGTAGCCTTGTAGTATAGTTTGAAGTTGGATGCCTCCAGCTTTGTTCTTTTTGCTTAGTATTGTTCCGGCTTTACAAGCTCATTTGGTTAAATATGAATTTTAAAATAGTTTTTTTTTTTCCAATTCTGTGAAGAATGTCAATGGTAGTTTAATGGGAATAGTATTGAATCTATAAATTGCTTTGGGTAGTATGGCCATTTTCATGATACTGACTCTTCCTATCCATGAGCATGGAAATGGAATGTTTTTCCATCAGTTTGCGTCCTTTCTGATTTCCTTGAGCAGTGGTTTGTAGGTCTCCTTGAAGAGGTCCTTCACTTCCCTTGTTAACTGTATTCCTAGGTATTTTATTATCTTAGGGGAAATTGTGACTGGGAGTTCATTCATGATTTGGCTCTCTGCTTGTCTGTTGTGGTGTATAGGAATTCTTGTGATTTCTGCACATTGATTTTGTATCCTGAGACTTCGCTAAAGTTGCTTATCAACTTAAGAAGTTTTTGGGCTGAGTCAATGGGCTTTTCTAGTCATAGAAAAGTTTGCATGTTGTCTGCAAACAAGGGCAATTTGACTTTCTGTCTTCTTACTTGAATACCCCTTATTTCTTTCTCTTGCCTGATTGGCCTAGTCAGAGATTCCAATAATATATTGAATAAGAGTGGTGAGAGAGGGCATCCTTGTGTTGTGCCAGTTTTCAAGGGGAATGCTTCCAGCTTTTGCCCATTCGGTATGATATTAGCTTTGGGTTTGTCATAAATGACTCTTATTTTGAGATATGTTGCTTCAATATCCAGTTTATTGAGAATTTTTAACATGAAGGGATGTTGAATTTTATAGAAGGCCTTTTCTGCGTCTATTGAGATAATCATGTGGTTTTTGTCTTTAGTTCTGTTTATGTGAGAAATTATATTTGTTGATTCGTGTATGTTGAAACAGCTGTGCATCCTGGGGATGAACCCAACTTGATCATGGTTGATAAGCTTTTTGGTGTGCTGCTGGATTCAGTTTGCCTTTATTTTATGGAGGATTTTCACACTGATGTTTATTAGGGATATTGGCCTGAGGTTGTCTTTTTTTGTTGTTATATCTCTGCCAAGTATTGGTATAAAGATGATGCTGGCCTCATAAAATGAGTTAGGGAGGAGACTCTCCTTTTTAATTGTTTGGAATAATTTCAGAAGAAATGGTACCATCTCCTCTTTGTACCTCTGGTAGACTTCAGTTGTAAATACATCTGGTCCTGGGCTTTTTTTGGTTGGTAGGCTATTTATTACTGTCTCAATTTCAGAACTTATTACTAGTCTATTCAGGGATTCAACTTCTTCCTGGATCAGTCTTTGGAGGGTGTATGTGTCCAGGAATTTATCCATTTATTCTAGATTTTCTAGTTTATTTTCATGTTTATGGTATTCTCTTATAGTTGCTTGTATTTCTGTGGAGTCAGTAATGATATCTCCCTGATCATTTCTGATTGTGTTTATTTGAATCTTCTCTCTTTTCTTCTTTATTCATCTAGCTAACAATCTATCTTTTTTCTTTATTGTTTTTCAGAAAACTGCTCCTGGATTCGTGGATTTTTTTGAAGGATTTTTTGTACCTCTCTCTCTCCTTCAGTTCCACTCTGAGCTTGGTTATTTCTTGCTCTTAGCTAGCTCTGTTGTGTGTTTGTTCTTGGTTCTCTAGTTCTTTTAGTTGTGATGTTAGGATGTTGATTTGAGGCCTTTCTAGCTATTTAATGTGGGCATTTCATGCTATAAATTTCCCTCTTAACTATGCTCTAGCTGCATTCCAGAGATTCAGGTATATTGTCTCTTTGTTCTCATTGGTTTCAAAGAATTTTTTGATTTCTGCCTTAGTTTTATTATTTACCTGGAAGTCATTCAGGAGCAGATTGTTCAACTTCCATGTGGTTGTGTGGTTTTGAGTGAATTTCTTAATCTTTATTTCTAATTTGATTGCACTGTAGTCTGAGAGACTGTTTGTTATGATTTTAGTTTTTTGCATTTGCTGAGTGTTTTATTTCCAATTATGTGACCAATTTTAGAATATGTTCCATGTGACACCAAGAAAAATGTATATTCTCTTGTTTTTGGGTGGAATGTTCTGTAGTTATCTATCAGGTCTACTTGATTCAGGGCTGAGTTCATGTCCTGAATATCTGTTAATTTTCTCTCTCAATGATCTGTCTAATATTGACAGTGGGGTATTAAAGTCTCCTACAATTATTGTATGGGGGTTTAAGTCTCCTTGTAGGTCTTTAAGAACTTGTTTTATGAAGTTGGGTGCTCCTGGACTGGGTGCATATGTATTTAGGATAGTTAGCTCTTCTTATTGAATTAAATCCTTCCCCATTATGTAATGCCATTCTTTGTCTTTTTTTTAACTTTGTTGGTTTAAAGTATTTTGTCAGAAACTAGGATTGTAACCCCTCCTTTTTTTCTGCTTTCTATTTGCTTGGTAAATTTTCCTCCATCCCTTTATTTTGAGCCTATGTGTGTCTTTGCACATGAGATGTGTCTCTTGAATACAGCACACCAATGGGTCTTTTCTCTGTATCCACCTTGCCATTCTGTGTCTTTTAAATGGGACATTTAGCCCATTTATATTTAAGATTAATATTATTATGTGTGAATTTGATCTTGTCATCATGATGCTGGCTGGTTAATTTTGCAGACTTGTTAATGTAGTTGCTTCATAGTGTCATTGGTCTGTGTACTTCAGTGTGTTTTTGTAGTGACTGGTAATGGTTTTTCCTTTCCATGTTTAGTGCTTCCTTCAGGAGCAATTGCAAGGCAGGCCTGGTGGTGACAAAAATCCCTCATCATTTGCTTGTCTGAAAAGAATTGTATTTCTCCTTCACTTATGAAACTTAGTTTGGCCAGATATAAAATTCTGGGTTGGAAATTATTTTCTTTAAGAATGTTGAATATTGGCCTCCCATCTCTTCTGGCTTGTAGGGTTTCCTCTGAGAAGTTTGCTTTCAGTCTGATGGGCTTCCCCATTGTAGGTGACCTGGCATTTCTCTCAGGCTGCCCTTAACATTTTTTCCTTCATTTCAACCTTGGAGAATCTGACGGTTATGTGTCTTGGGATAGATCTTTTCATGGAGTATCTTAATGGGGTTCTCTGGATTCTCTGGATTTGAATGTTGGTCTGTCTTGCTAGATTAGGGAAGTTCTCTTGGATGATATCCTGAAGTGTGTTTTCCATCTTGGCCCCTCCTCACCTACTCAATAGTTTAAAAAATTGTTTTTATGTTCAGCTAATAAAGTGAGAAAAATATTGAACCTGATAATTTTCCTAGTATCCTAATTGGTTAAGTTGCCCCTAATATTAAAAAGCAATCTACTCTATGAAAGTTCACATAAATACATGTGCATACATATGCACACACATACACACACACACATCTGATTTCTATTTAGAAATTGCTTCTACATTTTTGGGTTCTCTCACACTAGAACATGTATATATTTTTCATAGCTACTACAAATAATAACGTACTAATAACGTACTAATAATGTACTACAAATAATAACGTACTAATAACGTACTAATAATGTACAAATGGAATTTAGAGCTCTTTACAAATAATATACATACTATATCACCTAAAATATGTACATATAAATTATGTAAATTTTAATTATTACCAGTGGAATTAATTGTTAACAGTCCAGTTTTTCCTTGTAGAGCCTTACATAGGTGAGACAATAACATCTATGACAATTTTTTCTCTGAAAGTGAGAAAAGCCAAATATATGAATTGCTACACTTTGGAAAGAGTGCTGGGGCCTTACTTTCCTCAGACCTATTTTTAGCTGTTTTAATGAAATCTAGTTTTTAATAAATCACTGGGGAGTCTATCCTCCAAAGGCCCTAAGCCAAATATAAACACAACAGTGTGGAAATTAAGAGAAAAGAGCCAGGGTTTCCTCTCAACACCGAGTAGGTATCTTGTTTATGTGTTCTAACAAAGGGTTTATAAATACCTTCTCCTGTTTTTCAAAAAAGAGCAACTTTCAGTACCTACTGTAAGTATAATATGAGAAAGAAGCATTTGCCTCAAATCCATTTCAATCACTGAGATAAGTGAAATAGAATTACAATATTCCCAACATCAACTGGCTTTTGTGAGATAATTTGTGGGTTTATTTTATATTTTCCTCAAGTAGTTGTATTTAAAGCTTCATGTCTTTGAGTGATATAAGTTGCAGAAGAGAATTTATTTGAAGAAATTCTTTGAAATATAAGGCAAGTTATTATAAACTGTTGAATTTTGTAAAATCTGAGAAAAGGAACAGCAATTTATTTGGCCTTATTTCAAGCAATAATTTTGAGAGTCAAACATTATTTTATTGTAACTGATTTTATAGCAAAACAAAAATACAATGTGAAAAGTAGTCCAGGTCAAAATGATCATTTATTAAATAAAAATCAAAGAAACAAATATGAAATTAGTGAAATAAGAAGAAACTCATAGTCAAAGTCACAAGTTTGGTTTGTTTGAAAAGAAAGTCAATCAAGGCAAAGCTGGCTAAACAATGTTAAACCAAAGAAGGCAAAGAACAAAAACGTTAATTTAGTCAAAAAGTAATTTGTCAAGTATGTGGACAGACACCTCTATTTTCTCAGTCTATTTTCTTCATTTTACTTTGAATAGGCAACAGACGTTCAGAGAGCTCCTATGGCATGCCAGACAGTTTTACATATTTTCTTTCTTTTATTAGTACAAATTTAAGGAGTTCAAGTGCAGCTTTGTTCCATGGATACATGGTATCATGGTGAAGTCTGGGCTTGTATTGTAACCATTACCCAAATAATGTACATTTTACCCATTAATTGATTTCTCATCCCTCATTTCCCTCTCTCCTCCCCCGCTTCTGAGTCTCCAATGTCTATTATTCTATGTCTACAAGTTTTCACTTATTTTCTTATTTAATTCTCACAATTAGATCTAAGGGAAGATTTATAGATGAATCCAATAGTTTGGCATGAAATTACAAGTTTCTCTGGTAAAAAGTGACTAGTCATTCTTTTTAACTTTTTGCAATTTCAGTAACATGGACATAATCAAAGCTGTCTTGGAGCCTGTTTGCAGTATTTGAATTGTTATTAAATAGCTTACTTTACCTCACACTCGTAGTACAAGGTAGAAATCGAAGCCCATGTCTTTATCACTGTTTATTCAATATTAGTGAAACATTATTCCCAAATAATTTTGGATTGTGGATTGTGAATTATCATCCTCATAAATGTTCTGTGAATATAGATGCCATTGTCAAATTAATATAAAAAAGTTTCTGTTTCTTTTTGAAAACTATCAACCACAGTAGTATAAGTACTCCTAAAACTTGTACAGTAAAGACAATTTTCCTTAAACATATGTAACCCAGTGTTTTCCAAATATATTAGATACTTGAAACTTACTTTTCATGTACTTTGGGTTAAATGATAAAACCTAAAATACATTAATAAACTTTTTCTAAATAAAAAGATCCATATGTGATTTAATGTGCAGAATACACATGCTCTGTCCCTGAAATATAATCTGAGACTTTGACTACAGAGATTAAAACATTTCAAAAAGCTTTCATGACTCAATTAATAATGAAAATAAATTATGAAAATGTCAGGTATAGACAAATCCAAGCTGTTGGATAATAAATACTGTAGGAAGTCAGAGGGTGGAATGATGAATATCACTTGGAGTTGGAGAAGATGACTTCCTGGTGTAAATGTGTTTTTAAAAATAAACAATTCTAGTATGATAGAAAATGTTTGATTTTTTAAATTCTATATTCCAGACACCCCCTGATTCTCACTTTGTTCATAGATAAACTATATGTTTTAATAGATGAGATTATATGTATGTATATGTATTCAAATATCCACATATATAAAAACATACACATATATACATTCTTTTGTGTTATTGTTTAATGTATGTGTCGTGTGTACTAGCTGTCTAAATATCATAGAAAGTAATTTTGCCAGATGTATAAAAAATCTACCTAGTAAATATTGAGGATGTTTGGGTTTTTGTTGTTGTTCTTTGCTAAATAATTTTATTCATTAATGGATGAGGTCCTTGCCTTGTATTATGGAGTCTGGAATATATTGTTACCCAGAATCCATCTCCTAAACTCTCTCTGTTAAACAAATATTCCTATTAGAGCTCTGCAGGGAAACTCTAATTTCTCCACAGGTTCTTATGTGGTGTGTAATGTTCATTTATATTCCTTAGTGAGATCCAACAAAGGTCTGTATCAGGCTAACTTTTGCATGCAAAATTCAAGTTTACCATGGATAATTATTATTTATAATTGAAACCATGTATTTTCTAAAGAAGTTAATAGCTGCAATTTATTTATTCAAGCTGTACTCTGTGGTTATTTTTCCTATTGTTCCCTGCAGATCCCCCCCGTAGGGCAGCCATATAAATGGCTGACAGAAATGTCACTGTGATAACTGAATTCATCCTCCTGGGGTTGACTGATAACCCTGAAATGAATGTTGTCCTTTCTGTGCTCTTTCTATTAATCTATCTCATTACTGTCTTGGGCAACTTTTGGATTATCATAATAATTCTGGCTAGTGCCCAACTCCATTCACCCATGTACTTTTTCCTTAGCCAGTTGGCTTTCTTAGATTTCTGCTATTCTTCAGTCTTGATTCCTAAAATGTTGGTGAATTACATAGCAGGACAGAAAGTCATCTCTTATCACGGTTGCCTCCTTCAGTATTCCTTTGTCAGCTTGTTCCTGACTACTGAATGCTTCCTCCTGGCTGCCATGGCATGTGATCGGTATC
The DNA here is from genome assembly GCF_000001405.40 of Homo sapiens. Taxonomy (NCBI): domain Eukaryota; kingdom Metazoa; phylum Chordata; class Mammalia; order Primates; family Hominidae; genus Homo; species Homo sapiens. The sequence goes on from NC_000011.10 coordinate 56,083,171, forward strand.
TCGCTGTTTGCCACCCACTTCACTACAAAGGTCTCATGACTCCTACTTTCTGAATCTATTTGGTGACTGTTTCTTACCTGCTGGGCTCTGTAAACTCCCTCACCCACCTGAGTAGCTTACTCAGTTTGTCTTTCTGTGGGTCCAATGTTATCAACCGTTATTTCTGTGACATTCCATTGCTCTTCCAACTCTCCTGTTCCAACACCCAACACAGTAAGATTTTATTTACTGTCCTTTCTGGAGCAACATCAGTGACTACCTTTTTGATAGTGGTTAGTTCCTATCTGGTAATCCTACTCATTGTCCTGAAGATACATTCCACCAGGGGCAGAAATAAAGCCATATCCACATGTGCCTCCCACCTAATGGTAGTGACTCTCTTCTACAGAACAGTGATATTTACTTATCTGGGAGCCAACCCTGGATACTCACAGGATAGACCCAAAATTCTGCCTGTGGAGTGCACACTTTTGTTGTCAATACTAAATCTTCTAATATATAGCGTGAGAAACAGAGAAGTCAAAGAAGCCATAAAAATAATTATTAAGAGAAAAATACTTCCTCAGTGAACATGAATTTTCAGCCAGAAACATTTAAGACTATTATCAGTGCTGCGGTAAGTACATTGTTAAATATATGTGGGACTTTTGGGGTGGAGGCAGAAAGCTATTTTCAAAGCAGTGTATGTGCAAAAATGCATTTGTTATTAGCCTTCAGAAACATACATGCACACATGTGAACACATACACATACACACACATATATCTGGGAAACATTTCTTTTACACTTTTAGGTTTATTAGTTAGAAGGCCCATTAATTAAAGTGACAAAGGAATGATTAACAATAGAAGAGACAAAGTTTACTCATACACATATAGGGGCACACAAAAGAACTGGCTCAATAATTAGAGACCAGGGTTTATATACCTAATTTGCCACATGAAAGCAAAGGATGAGAAAGCCTTCTATGGGAAGAACAAATGAACTTTTAGCAGAACAAATAGGAGACAAAGTTTCCGATAGTGTTCGTTTTATGCAGATTCCTGTGTTCCCTTTCTTCTTCCAGGCAGAAAATCCTCCCGCTAGAGGCAATTTATGGAGGTTTCAGTCTCAGAAGTCTCTGTCTTTAGTATAAGAAAAGCACTGATAAAGCTTCTTTCTGCATTTGTTGAATCTGAAATGTCTTCAGATAAAAATATTTTTATGCCACTTTGGTATAATTTGAATCCTTTCAAATCCCAAATTGTGATTCTGAAAATCTAACTTCCTATGCAATAAACTGTCACCCATTTTCTGTGGATTGGTTAACTATAAAATACAATCTTCAGTTTCGTAAAAAATATAGAAGAACCAGTAGCTGCACAGTCACAGAGACATGTAGCAGACACACAGGCACACACACACACTCTCACACACACACACACACATCTCTCAAGGAATATTGGTTAAAGGAAGTGTACTGACTTCTCCTTCTTCTTAGTGACGTCCAAGAGCTGAGCCATTTTGCAGATTTTGAGATTCTTCTGAAACAAGAACTTGAAACCAAGCATCAATGGGAAAAAAACTCACCCACGATCAGACCACATGAATATTTGAGAGCCAGAATTCAAATATGCCTATACTTATATACTTGTACACAGACCTCCTCCTCATTTACATTAATAAAAGGCCTTTAAATTTCCTGCCTGTATTTTATGTGCCATCTTTTTCTAGAATTGTGAAAATTTGCATATTTTATTTTAAAAAGTAATTCTGCAGTCACAGATGGTTTCTCTTTAGGGTGACTCCAATTCTGCCAGTTAACAGAAAAACCAAAACAACAATGTAAAGCTATTCTGTTATATTAGAGAATATCGTAATTCACCAAAAATCAGCCTTCAGGGAACTTCCGTAAAAGAGTACAACCATTTGAAAATGCTAAAAGTTACACGTTTAACAAAATGGCTCTTTGAATCCCACATGGCCTATGTTCATCTATCATTCCAGATGGTGTTTATGGTTCTGATCACTTGGCCATCCATCAAATCTCAGTCCAGCAGCACTGTTATTCTCATAATTGTTAAGAATGTAAGCATGCTGTTTGTTAAATGATATTATTGCAATATGTAGTGAATAATAGTTTTGGTTTTAAAGGCATGTTTATATCTATCAAACAGAGTTCATAGCAATAAATCTTATCTGTTAAAATCTATAAAAGTCTATGAATTTGTTTAAGACTGCTTGACAATGAAAGTTATGGAAATTTATAATTAAATGTGTTAAAGCATTTTTTACTTCATTGTTTCTATACAGCTCATAATTGCTTTCAGAAGAATCTCATTGTCAAGTATTTTGATAACAGCATATGCATTTGCCAAAAAATAAGTAATTACCTTCATTATTATAACCAAGTTTTCGAAAGCAAAAATATTGCCTAATAAGGGAGTCCCTAGGACATAAAAAGCAGCTTTCTGAAAGATATCTCATAATCACATACCAAAATTTAAATCGACATTAAGTCTACCAAAGTATTTCTCTCTCGGTCTTATATACTTGAGGCTTTTACATTTAACAATGTAATTTACAACATAATAATAAAGTGCTCCACTTTTTGAATTATTTTCATCTTCATAGATTGCAAATAATGGCATGTTTTTGGTAAAACATATATAAACATTTCTGTTTTGATATTTTGACTAATTATTTTCCAAAAATTTGTATAGAATCTAATTACTTCAGCAATTCAATTATTGTATTTATTTAAAAGTTTAGTTATTATAACTAAACAGAAATAATGAATATATTGTATAATAAAATCTTCAAAAAAGGAAAAGAGATAAAACCAACAATGTGAAAATTAATGAAAATATAATAATTGATCATGATCTTCTTTCCACATGTTATATACTAACTTCATGAGAAACGATTTGAGAAAGTAAGGTTTCTCTGTGTTTTTACTCAGTAATGGATTTGAGATTATGCTCGTTGGACCAAAATTGTGAAAAGAGAAGCATATTAAATTAAATAATAGGAGATGAAATTCAAGGGGATAGACTTTCTGAAATACTATAAACTTACACAGAGGGGTATTATTTAGAAACACCATTAAAACTACAAGAAACCTAGAAGTCTTTGAATATTTGTTACTCAAACTATCAATTGTTAGGAAAGTTTTCCCAATAGCTTTAGCTTGTAATATTAAAAGGCAACAAAAATTAATTTATCAGGTCTAGCAAGAGCTTAGATTGTGGATAATTTCTCCAACAATCACTAAATAACCCTATTCAAGCAAATATGTCTCTATACTTTGCTTTATTTGCTTTTGTACATTGTGATGACCATGTTTCTGACATGAATTTTATGCATTAAAACAGCTTAAAACAGTTTAACTTTACAGCATGTGAGTGAATGTGGTTTCTTTCTTTAGATCCATAGTCAATCTAAAAATTTGTGTTTAATTTTGGTTTCTAATAAAAGCCTCTGTTATGCAATGCTGATTTCATATATCTATATGTCTATATTTTATATAGATATAAGAATCCATGTACATATAAATGAAAAGGAGTGTTTCTATGCTACGATTAAAGTGTTTATGATCTACTTTAATCCTTAGTAGTCAATCTTGAATTAATATGTGTAACTGTGGATATTGTATATTTAACATGTTCCAAATTGTTTAAGTTCTTTGCAGGGGAAAGTATTAAGGATAATAAAAACACATCATGTGGAGAATATTGAATTGAAAGGGTTAGAGAACAAATTATAATTTTCTCTTATTGAAAACAGGCCATGAAAAGAAGGGATTAAATTTGTTTTATAGGCTTCAAAGGAATCCAATTATTAAAATTTAAAAAGTTTTGAACAAATGCAGTTCAAAGTCAATTGAATGTATATTTAATAATAACTACTTATATGCTACGTGAAAACACATTTTAACTCAATATAGACTACCCCAAGATCCAGTGATAAACATCACTTGGAAGATTTAAGCTAAAGTGAACAATTGGTGATACTTTGTAGGGAGAGGTTTGAATATCAGATGGATGGTTATGTGTGTTGGTTTCTGAAGGCCATCCCAACAATGAGACATTTTACTGGTGGCTAGCAAATGTACTTTAACTTAGAAATATGAAAAAAATGAAAACGGCCCTTTTTACTGTTTTCATGTGATTTTTTAAAATCAGAAAAATTAAGAATTAAAGGGAAACTTCTCATCTGTTCTTCTGATGACAAAACCAAGTATTGGACAGAATATATGTTTTTTTCATTAGATCTCATGACTTACTAAGCATTCTGAACTTCAGTCCATTTTGCATTTTGCATTTTTCTGTACATACCGTGAAACGGCAATTTGTTCCACAAGCTAACAAACATAACTAAGAAAATCTGCGTAGAGATACTCACATTTATTGGACATCTGAGTATTTTACATCTCATTCAAGACAAATAGTTATTTTTCTGAATGCCTTTCAACTTCCTCAATCCCAATGTTCTAAAACTAGTATCACTACATTCTGTGCACCCATTTTCTATTTTTATATTATTTTGTTTGAATAAAATGTGTGCATTCACTCAGTTACACAAGCCAAATATCTGGCAAGTGAGCACAGATCTGGAATCTCTTTTCTTTCTTTTTTTTTTTTTTTTTTTTTTTTTGAGGCGGAGTCTCGCTCAGTCGCCAGGCTGGAGTGCAATGGCAGGATCGCGGCTCACCATTGTCTCTGCCTTCTGGGTTCAAGTGATTCTCCTTCTTCAGCCTCCCGAGTAGCTTGGACTACAGTCACGCGCCACCATGCTCGGCTACTTTTTTTTTTTTTTTTTTTTTGGTATTTTAGTAGAGATGGGGTTTCACCATGTTGGCCAGGATGGTGTCAATCTCTTGACCTCACGATTCGCAGGCTTTGGCCTCCCAAAGTGCTGGGATTAAAGGCATGAACCACCACACCTGGCCCCATATCTCTTTTATTTTCTTCAAATACTTATTCGAATAGGTCTTGGTAATTCTGTATCTCGGAAACCCTCCGGATAAGTTTCTTTTTCTTTATTAATTATCATTGTTGCCATTTCAGCTCAGGCTCCAATGTTCGCTAATCTTAACTGTTGAGAGCCTCCTAATGTCTTCCATTGCAGCCTACCTAGTTCTCCTTTAATGTATCTTCAATTTTACCTCAGAGCAAAGTTTTTAGTCATAATACTTCTACACATTGTCCTTTTAATAAGAATTCACTGGACTGCTTACATGTCTCTTTAGACATTTCCAAATATAACCATTTTCCATTATAGCATAAAGTCATTTTTTGAAGTTATAATTACAAAATGTTGAGAATGTAAAAGTATTAAAAATATGTGTGATTTATTATTAAGGGAAAATATAAATACACAAGTAATAATCGTAAAATATTGTTCAGATCCTTTTTTTCTAAATGCCGTAGTCTCATAAAAGCAAGAATTCTTAGAGAAGTGGTTAATTTTAGAGTTGAGTCCAGGAAAATACAAGATGACCTGGAACAGTTTGTGTGGTAGAGTGTAAGGAGTAAAAAACAACAATGATGGAAAGAATTTTAAAAGGTAGGGACATGTTCAAAGAACATAGAGTCCAGGAGCCAATTAGATGGTGGTTCCATTAGTTTTAAGCAACAGAGTAAATGATGTCAGCATGGAATATAACACAAAGAGTAAATAATTATGAGTGCATATTGGTTTAAATAGAAGACTGAATAAGTAAATATATAGGGGAGAAGTAATAACTCTACCTTTATGAATAATTTCAATATATTAAAAGAATAAGGGAAATAACAAATTTCTACCAAAATACCACAGTAATAATTGCTACAAGCAACAAACATATTGATAAATGGTAAAAAGTAGTAATGAAATATTTACATAGTCTAAGTTACCTTTTCCCAAATAAATATTTAATAAGTACAAAGAAAGAATTGTAATTCTACAGTAAAAAAGTCTGGCACACACTACTTTAAGTGATCAAATTTAATATCACTAGCCATATCACCTATCAGCATCATATGCCCTGTGATAAAATGGAGGATTGTTTACAGATTGCCTCTCTGGAACTCTTTTCAATCATGGAAAACCTCAACTTAATTAGGAGAAAACATCAGGCAAAGTTCAATTGAAGAATATCCTATAAAATATTTGACGTACTAAAAAAACTATCACAGTCATGAAAGAAAAGGGAAGACTATAGAACAGGAACAGACTCCAATAGCCTAAGCAGGCAGGACAATAACCACAACATGGCATCCTGGATTGGATCCTGGAAGAGGAAAACAGGACTTTAGTGGAAAATTTAGTAAAATTATTAAATCTGTAGTTCAGCTAATATTATCTTATCAATATAAATTTCTTAAGTATTAATATTCACACTGTGATTAATTTTAACATTAGTAAAGCTAGAAGAAGTGTTTATAAAAAATCTGTTGGTCTAAAGTTATTTAATAAAAAAGTTAAAAAGAGTTGATTGACAGAAACCAAAATAGATGTATAGAAAAAATGTAAATTCAATTGATCAAGTAGTTATTAAATGTCTATTTATCTTGTAATATGGTCAACAATAGTCCCTATATCAACTGTGTATTTGTGACCACTATACATATTAGTTCACCAAATATCAGAACATTAAATAGCTGAGACAAAATTTGAATCTTGAAAGAGGCAATTAACACTAGGTAGTGTGAAAGGAGAAATATTATTTTCATGTTTCACACAAAGCATAATGCCTGTCATCCAACGGCTGCTTAATCAATTTGTGTTGAACAAATAAGTAAGAGGGTAGATGAAACATTGACATTGCAGGTGTACAACCCAATTCTTTCAAAGTTTTATTTTCTCAAGTTGCGCACTTAGTGGGGGAAGAAATTACTGTAGTCTCTCCTTATCCTCAAAGAACCTACGACCCCCAGTGGATACCTGAAATTGCAGATAGTATCCAACTCGATATATACTGTTTTTTTTTCCTGTACATACATACTTGAGATATAGATTAATTTTAAATTAGACACAGTAAAAGATTAATAACAATAACTACTTATAAAATGGAATCATTATAACAATACTCAGAAAAGCACATTTAAACCTATGAATTGTCTATTCCTGAAGGTTTCCTTTTAATATTTTCAGACTGATTGACCAATGGTAACTGAAACAACAGAAAGTAAAACCACAGATAATGGGAGCCTACTGTATACCATTTATTTTGTCCTAATATCTGATAATATTGAGCATCAGTAAGTGATATGGCACGTCTATAATAGATTCCCTTTTTTAAAATCTCTAATATTAGAGATGGTTTCTATCACTACAAAAATATACATTTTTTTTCCTGTAAGGAATCTGTTGTGTTTCATTATGTAACACTAGGGAGAGATTTGTTAAAAGATACAAAATTTCAGCTAAATAAGAAGAATGTGTTCTATTGTTCTGTACTACTGTACAATGACTATAGTTAACAATAATGTATTATGTAGTTTCAAATAGCAAGAAGGAGGATATTGAATATTCCCAACAAAAAGAAATGATAAATGTTTGAGATGATAGATATATATGATCTGATCACTGTATATTATGTATTTTAAAACATCACTATGTACTCCCAAGAATATATACAGCTATTATTTGTCAATTAAAAAATAAGCCCTTTTAAAATATAAGTGATATAAGAGACTGTAACAATCACAGTAGAAGAAGAATTTCATTAGACAAGTCTGTGAGATCCTTCCAAGCTAGTATTTGTCAAAGTATAAGCCATGTAATGTGGGGCATTTTGAAAAATTTAATTTTATGGGTCAACATCAGACCTAATAAACCAGAATCTATACAGTAGTGTAGGCTAGGAAGCTGCTTTGAAACCAACAAACACAAGAGATAATGTGAATACAATTGTGGGAAATATTGTATTTACTCATAAATTGAGCATTAAATGGAGAACATGACTTTGATTTGTACCGCAGGTTTCTTGTTCATTTTCCTAGATGGCATACTTATTATCAGACAATGATACTACGTATATACCTTTAAGCACAATTAAAAATAATTGAATGCCTGAGTTAAAAGTAGACACATCCATGTTTGTTGACATAGATGGTAATATAATTTCAACACATGTTAACAGCATTAAATCAGTGAGTAGGAAAGCTTACTTCCATTTCATGGGAGGGTTATCTGGGAAACAGACAAATGCTATCTGAGATTCCCTAATATCATATGTCTCCTTTAGTTTCATAATAATTTAGTGTTTCATACATGTTTCACGTCTATATATCTACCAATAACATTAAAATAACATGATTTTTAAAACGAAATCAATTGATTTTTTCAATGTGTCTGCTGCCGTTTAACTGAAAAACACAAAAATGAGGAATATATATTTCCTAATGCTTCCATTAGAGATATACCCTAGGCAAATTAAGAATAGACCCTGGAGTATGATTAAAATATGAATCTCAAGAGATCAAAGATGCTAATTGAACAACATTTTTATTAGGTGAGTTTGAGGAAAAGTTGCAGGTATAAGAATACTGCTTAACACATGAGCTTTCAAAAGAAAATCTTTTGTCATGGGATTGCTTTAGAAATACACTAAGACAAAAACAATTCTAAATAGGAATCCAGACTTGAGCAAAAAATATAAATTTTTAATTCTCAAGAATGTGCACAAAAAACAAGTTAACAAGAAGTTAATTTGGCTCTTATTTCTAGCCTATCAATGAAAGGTAATATATACAGTACCTAATACTATCATCAAAACCATCAACATTTTTTCATCAACATCATAACATTTAGGGTCCATTATACAGGAAATAGAGCTCTATACTAAATAACAACTTTTGTTATTTGATATTTAGCATTGTAGATGAGGCAAAAATAATGAACTTGAAAATAAGTGAAAGATTGCTGAAACATAGGATGTTTCCTCTGGGTGACTGAATCCCAGGTACATCTAATTTTCTCATCTGCTTTTTCCTAAAATTTGTGTGTCTGTCTGTCTGTGAGTATAGTTTGCATGTTTCTCACATTGGGAAACTTGTTATTTTTTTAATGTCTGCATCTTACATTAGGCTTTAAGAAAAATGCCCTTCATGACAGGCAAGACAAAATGCCTTCATTGAATAAATGCTTGTCAAGTAAATGAATGGATAAATAGGAACACTGTGACCATGGAACACATTAAATGATTAAGTACATGTGATATATAATAAGAATAATATGTTATATTATTATTATTGATAATAATTATTATCAAGTCCCATTTGGTTACTCAAGGAGAGTGCTAAATGTCTAAACAAAGGTGATTATTTAACTTTGCTTGGCGGGCTAGTTTCAAATGCATTTATTCGTCATATATTTATGTTAAGTTAATTAGGCAATAAAGTTCTTTAGTTTCTAGCATGCCCACCTTATAATTTAATTCTTATTTTTAAATGTAACAAATCAGGTTTGTTTTACTGTTTTTAACATTTATTTATATCATTGTCTTAAAAACTGCTGTTCAGCAATGAATTGGCTAGCACCTGATGTCATAGATTAATATATGCAATATATCTAGAAACAATCATGTTGTTTGAACAAACATACATGAAAGAATTTAAACTATGTTATAGATGAAGGCCCTCATTTGGTCTTATCTCACTGAATTTTTTATTAGATAAACTGCTCTATTCATTAGATACAATTCATTTTGTTAGATAACTTGCTATATTTATTAGATACAGATTGATTTCATTAGATAAGTTGCTATATTCATTAGATACAATTAATTTCATTTGATAATTTGCTATATTTGTTAGATACAATTGATTTCATTAGATAAATTGCCAGACCCAATGACAGACAGGGGTAGAGAATGGTACATCTTAGGAGGAATTTCTACACATCTTTCCAGACATGTATTTTTTAGTCTACACAATCGTGAATTTGAGTTTTTTTCTGTATTAATGTCTGTAAGTTTTCAGTTTTATAAAAAATAAAAATTATCCGTAAATCTCTAGCTAACTTCAGGTCATTAAATTTTACTTTCCATTTGTAAAACTTTCATGATTGGAGTCTAAGTCAAATTTGATTATAGGGCCTTTAGATTTGAATCCTTCTCTAACTTTCCTTATTGTTATTCAGCAGGTAAGTCAAAGGCCTGAGTTGATGTAAATGGCTGGCAACAATTTCACTGAGGTTACCGTCTTCATCCTCTCTGGATTTGCAAATCACCCTGAATTACAAGTCAGTCTTTTCTTGATGTTTCTCTTCATTTATCTATTCACTGTTTTGGGAAACCTGGGACTGATCACGTTAATCAGAATGGATTCTCAGCTTCACACCCCTATGTACTTTTTCCTGAGCAATTTAGCATTTATTGACATATTTTACTCCTCTACTGTAACACCTAAGGCATTGGTGAATTTCCAATCCAATCGGAGATCCATCTCCTTTGTTGGCTGCTTTGTTCAAATGTACTTTTTTGTTGGATTGGTGTGTTGTGAGTGTTTCCTTCTGGGATCAATGGCCTACAATCGCTACATAGCAATCTGCAATCCCTTACTGTATTCAGTAGTCATGTCCCAAAAAGTGTCCAACTGGCTGGGAGTAATGCCATATGTGATAGGCTTCACAAGCTCGCTGATATCTGTCTGGGTGATAAGCAGTTTGGCGTTCTGTGATTCCAGCATCAATCATTTTTTTTGTGACACCACAGCTCTTTTAGCACTCTCCTGTGTAGATACATTCGGCACAGAAATGGTGAGCTTTGTCTTAGCTGGATTCACTCTTCTTAGCTCTCTCCTTATCATCACAGTCACTTATATCATCATCATCTCAGCCATCCTGAGGATCCAGTCAGCAGCAGGCAGGCAGAAGGCCTTCTCCACCTGCGCATCCCACCTCATGGCTGTAACTATCTTTTATGGGTCTCTGATTTTCACCTATTTGCAACCTGATAACACATCATCGCTGACCCAGGCGCAGGTGGCATCTGTATTCTATACGATTGTCATTCCCATGCTGAATCCACTCATCTACAGTCTGAGGAACAAAGATGTGAAAAATGCTCTTCTGAGAGTCATACATAGAAAACTTTTTCCATGACAAATTTATGTATGTTACAATTAAAACAAAGGTGGATGGCTTCAGGAATTCAGTTATGCCAACAACTAGGAAAATAGTAGAGTAACCTCAAAAAGCATAACACAAACTAAATGAGAACTTAGAGTCTTGAAGTTTGTGAATTGAATTATTATTTCATTTGTTTATATGGACCACTAACTCACTGTATTTGGAGGTCAATTCGGCATATAAATTATTCAGACATAGACATGTACAAGGAAATAAGAGGCACCTGAACATGCATATATAAGCATGCCATCACACTGAAACATGTTTAAAATTATTACATTAAGAACATGCAATTTTTGTCATTCTGTGCCCAGCTTATATCACATAACTGGATTGTTTGTATTAGATTGTTGCAAAAGTAATTGTAGTTTTTTGTCATTAAAAAAGAAAACAGCAAAAACATCAATTACTTTGCACCAACATAATAACTCGATGGATAAATGCTTGATAACAAGGATAACCCATTCTCCATTATGTGCTTATTTCACATTGCATGTCTGTTTCAAAATATCTCACGTACTCAATAAATATAGACATCTACTATGTACCCACAAAAATTAAAAATAAAAAAACCTTAAAAAGTAAAAAAAAATATTAAATTGGCAATATAAACTTACACTGTTTTCTCAGCTACTAGTAAATTGAGAATAAGAAATTGGAAGATTAAGAGATAAGAACAGTTAAATTTTACAAAAAATATAAAATGCTGATCACCCGAAAGCAAAGAGTCTGGAACTAAAGAAACAAACAAAAATAAAAAAGCAATATTAGCCACAGGGAAAAATAAACGATTGAAGTAATTTCAGTGCAAACACTAATGGAACAACAGACACCAGGCAGTATGGAGAAATCTCTTGATAATATGGAGTCATTTGCCCCTAACGGTTAAGTTCTTGATCATGTATGTATGAACACAATTTTTTTTACATAGAAAAGTGATCAGTTTATGGCATTTTTTTCTAATAAAAACAGCAGAGTTTAATTTCTCATAGAATGTCTCACTAGCTGAGGCATAATCCCTAGATCATTTTGGATTTATACAGATTCTTGCATCACCAAATCAAACAAAAAGACATTGTTAAATCTACAGTATTAAAGGAAGAAAATGTGTGTGTATGTGTTCGTGTGTGTGGGGTGGAGAGATGGTGCTTTTCTTGCAAAGAGACTTAAACCTGATTTAACGAACTCTCCCAGGTGTTGCTAGAAGGTAACCATCGAAAAAGTTTTATCAGTACTGCCTTTCATGTCTATGAATGAATGAACAATTATCAGAGTTGGGCTATCATATGTATGTTGAAAGGAATGGAAGATTAATTTGATGAGGCTCTTTTAAAAGAAAATGTATGTGCTTATAATATTACTCTCCAGCAAGATTGTAAGCTCTTTGAGAGAAAAGTTTGCCTTTTCTTATTTGTGCACTTCATAACAACTAGCAAATGTATCAATACGAAGTATATAAGTAAATATTTTCTTTTGTTTTCGTTTGTGTGTGGAAGCACAGTGATGAATTCATTAGGGCCACAGTGTCTGTCTTACTCATATTTGTATATTTCTTTGGTGCAGTTTTGTACATAATCTTATTCAAACGTCAGTTTAGTTAGAAATTCTATTTTTAGAATTCTTTCTCAAACATTTCTCATTCATATATTAAATATGGCATAGTGATTTACAGATATATTTCTTCCCAAATGACTTTTTTTTCAGAATGGCTAGAATATGGAACTAAGTATATACAAAGCTGTATGCCGCATATATGAATTTAAATAATAGAAGACAACTGATTAGGAATTCTCATCTCTCCATAGTCACAAACCTACTTCTGTAAAGAGAATATCAGTCTTCAGTCTTGGTAGTGGCTGAAGATAGCTCATGTGAATGGACCTGGGTGTGCACATGGTTGGGGCTTAGAAAATGATATCGCAAAGAATGATGCTTTGGCATACTGATCACTTTGAAATAAGAAATTGCAAGGCCTTAGAAGCTGCCTTGGAGCCAAAGACTTGTTAACCTTCTCTGTTTCCCTCCCAGCAAGCACAGGGAAGGACATGCTCTGGAATTTTCTTACCTGACTGAGGAAACATCTTCTGAAACATGTATACATATGTAACTAACCTGCACATTGTGCACATGTACGCTAAAACTTAAAGTATAATAATAATTAAAAAATAAAGCAAATGAATAAACAACAATAAAAAGAAAAGTAATTGTCTTAAATGCCTTCTCTAGTATCTCATTAATTAACTAGGAAAGATTAACCACTGAAGAAGAGAAGAGACTAAAAGTTGTCACCATACTCACACATAGGGTTCATCTATTCTTCTGAAGGGATCTCCAAGAGATTATGTAAGAGATTTTATCAGCATAATAGATGGCATTTGTTCACAACAATGTTCTGTCCCTTCCCTTAAATTGCTGGTTCCATTCAGTTTCCTACTAGAATCATTTATAAACAGTCTATGCTTTGGGTTCATTCATTTCTCCCCTGTGAAAAGGGTATTTAGGCCTCAATCATATCCATTGAGTTATTATGTTGGTGCAAAGTAATTGCGGTTTTTGTTGTTTTTTTTTTAATGACAAAAAACCACAATTACTTTTGCAGCAGTCTAATACAAACAATCCAGTTATGTGATATAAGCTGGGCACAGAATGACAAAAATTGCATGTTCTTAATGTAATAATTTTAAACATATTTCGGTGTGATGGCATGCTTGTATATGCATGTTCAGGTGCCTCTTATTTCCTTGTACATGTCTATGTCTGAATAATTTATATGCCGAATTGACCTCCAAATACAGTGAGTTAGTGGTCCATACAAACAAATGAAATAATAATTCAATTCACAAACTTCAAGACTCTAAGTTCTCATTTAGTTTGTGTTACGCTTTTTGAGGTTACTCTACTATTTTCCTAGTTGTTGGCATAACTGAATTCCTGAAGCCATCCACCTTTGTTTTAATTGTAACATACATAAATTTGTCATGGAAAAAGTTTTCTATGTATGACTCTCAGAAGAGCATTTTTCACATCTTTGTTCCTCAGACTGTAGATGAGTGGATTCAGCATGGGAATGACAATCGTATAGAATACAGATGCCACCTGTGCCTGGGTCATCAAAGACTTCTCTGAATCTCATATTTTGAGTGGCTCTTGTGCTTATGCAGATTAATAGATGTGCATGCCTTTTCTCCTGTTTATCTATTGTCAGATCATTACAGCCGACTTGAAACTTCAGAGGGAAATGGAAATTCACTTTACCACTACACATTCATACATTCTAAATAAAATGATCATTTTTATAAGTGTATAAAACATCATGACTTTTACACTTTATTATGTTTACCCTGATTCTAGTGTATGCATTTTTACTTTTAATTGTACTGAATTTATATTTTTCTATAGATAATTTCAAATATTCTTATTTACTTAGTATTAATAAAATTATGTACCAAATTTATCTTTGAAAGTTATTAACATTTTTATTGCTAATCTGTTTCTAGGAGCAAAATCATACCACATTTTTTTTTTGCTCATCTAAACACATAACAACATATTTTATTTACCCAAAATTGTGCCTAAATGTCCATACATACTCTTCTCAATATGCTTCTCACAATTTCCCCTAGTATATTAATATCTTCCATCATTCTCTCTAGTTGCTCTGTGTGCACCTTCCCTCTAGATCCTGCAATGCAAGTCTTTCCAGGATAAACCTTGCCTTTTTTCCAGTCATTCCTTGTGCCTCACTCTTCCAGCACTCTTGATCTTTCCCACATCAGAAGATTAATTGTAGTCTTTGAAACTAAGTCCCTGGCAGTATCCTACTCTGTGCAATAGTCCAGATATCTCTTTCCTTTTTGAATATGCTGAACAAAAACACTCAATTTAAAATATGTTTGATGCATAAGGCTTCAAAATAAAAATACATAGTTTTGGTTCTGTCTGTTTAATCAGTGGTGCCCTTGTAATGTTCCTGTCTACCATTTGTATTCCTTGAGTTTGTGTTCTATTTCACTAACTTTAAGATAAATTTTTGTATCAAAAGTTTTTAAAAATTCTTTTTAAAACTTGTTTCATTTCAAGAAGGATTTCAAAAACTTCTGAAGAAACAAATTAGTCAATGAAAATAAACTAAATTCAGTAAAATTGATTTTTGATATCATAGAGATTCTGACTCATTCTCATAGCTGTATATTAAGATTAAAGGTCCATTTAAAATGAATTCAAAGTTACTGTCTGTTACTTGGAATAACTAGTATAGAATGGCTGGAATTTGCAGAGATATTTGCCTTTTAAAATAGGGGAAGAGAAGGATGGGTAGAAAAACTGTCTTAAATTAATAGCTAAAGATAACAGATACAAAAGAAAAATATAGTTTAGGAAATAATGTACAGAAATGTTAGCATTATGAAATATAAATGTATTAGAGAACTATATAACTTTTATATTTATTCATGGTAATGAATGCCTCTAAAAAGTCAAAGATTGTTCAGAACTCAGTATATTATTTTGCTTACACAATTTTTACTAAAGTAAAGTGATACAAAACATTAGGACAAAGTAACTAATTTTATAGAACATTGCTTTTACTCTTCCACTTGCCTGAAATTCAGTCTCTGGGTATTTTTATGGCTCTCTGTTTCACTTATTTCAATATGGCCCCATCATTGCAGCCTTTTCTGAAAATTATTTTTTAAGAAAGAAAGCTCAAAAGTCTCCATGCGCTATCTCCACTTTTTCTTCACAGCACTCTTACCTCATAGTACTGCTTGTCATTCCTTCAACTACCCGGTCCATCCTTTTCACAGGTCCTTCGCCCTAATGATCCATCCGTGTGGAACACATTCCCACCCTGTACCTACATGACTAACTCTTCCCTCCTTCAAGTCTTTGCTCACCTGTCATCTTTTCACTGAGATACACCTTGTCCTCCATTTTGGTTGCTTCCTCATGCCCCTGTTTCTGAACACCCCTCCCACCTTTTATGCTGTTTTACATTTCCTTTATTTCATTTATAGTACATGTTACCTTCCAATATGTTGTTATCACTGACCTTTGTATTTATTTGTTTCCCCCTGCTGAGAATCTATAATCTACAAATACTCTAATAGAAAAGACCAGACTTGCATATCAACATTTGAATTTTTCTTTCCCACAATCTATGTGTAATTTATAGTAGTTTATTAAAAGTAATTTATAAATTTAGAAAGCCTAACTTAAAGCAGTCATAACCACAATGCAATGCAGTAAAAAATATACATTGGCTGGATGCAGGGGCTCACACCTGTAATCCCAGCACTCTGGGAGGCTGAGGCAGGAAGATCAGTTGAAGTCAGGAGTTCAAGACCAGCCTGGCCAACATGGTGAAACCTCATCTCTACTAAAAAAATACAGAAATTAGTCTGGTGTGGTGGGTGTGCCTGTAGTCCCAGCTATTCGGGAGGCTGAGGCAGGAGTATTGTTTGAACTTAGGAGGCAGAGGCTGCAGTGAGTCAAGATTGTGTCACTGTACTTCAGCCTGGGCAACAGAGCAAAACTCCAAATAAATAAATAAATATTTATAAGATATAAATAATTTTAACTCACAATTTTAAAAACTTAGAATCATAATTTTATTATGATTTCAATAACTTAATGACTAAGCATCTCTGAGGTTAATCTTAGTCAAATAAGAAATGAAAATTTTAACTTTAGACTATATAATATGCCACAATAGGAACAATTCAGATTACTATGTATATAGGTGAAAAGTGACATCTGGGTGAATAATACAAACATTAAATTCTGGTATTATTAAACAGGTAACCATAAGAAAATACTTTTACTAGGTGGTAGAGAAAAAATCATGAATCCAACCTGATAAAGTAGGGGAAATAAAATGTTAAAACAAAAAATAACTAAAATAACTAATGATTAAGCAAGTTAATAAGCATTTGAACAAAATCTATCAAAAAAGTAATTTTTTTAATTGAGCCAAAGATGAAAAAAAAGTAAACATAATGCAGAAGAGAGAGACAGATTGAAAAAGAGAACAGAAAAAGCATAAGAAACATAGTTTAAAATATAATGAACTAAGTCTGTGCACATCTGTAATCCCAGCACTTTGGGAGGCCAAGGCAGGAAGACTGCTTGAGCCCAGGAGTTCGAGACAAACCTAGACAACATAGGGAGACCCCATCTCTACAAAGAATATAAAAAATTAGCCGAGCTGGTGGCGAGCACCTGTAGTCCCAGCTACTTGGGAGGATGAGTCAGGAGGATGGCTTGAGCCCAGGAGGTGGAAGTTACTATTAGCCGAGATAGCACAACTGCACTCAGCCTGGGCAACAAAGCGAGACTCTGCCTCTAAATAAATAAATAAATCATAAAAATATAATAACCTAGAACGTTACATTATTTCATCATTTAAAGAGATTTAAAATCTCTGATCAGAATTAGGCTTCTGTAATGACATAGTAAATAGTAAAATAATTTTCCTGCCATTATAAACAACTCTGAACCTGAACAAAATGGTTTTGAATGTTAGAAAAGCATTGAGCAAGAAAACTCCTTGCTCACGGAGATTTTACGATCACCAATCCTATTGAGGTAGTTTTGACATAGTCACCTTTTGCCTCTTATTTGGCTTAAACCCTAATGTCATCTATTGTTAAAGAGTGTGATATCGGCTTTTAAATCTTCAAATCAACCTGTCTCCGGATCACTAAATTTCTGATGAATACAATCGCCCTTCTCAAAGCTCACCAAAGGTACAATAAATACATACAAATGTAGCTGCTTTATACCTACCAACAGATTATCTCCTGAAATTCTAGATTATGGGCATGCTTTCCTTCTAGACTCACTTTAAAATTTACATGAAATTGGTATATCTCTGATATAGACCAATGGAACAGAACCGAGCCCTCAGAAATAATACCACACATCTACAACTATCTGATCTTTGACAAACCTGACAAAAACAAGAAATGGGGAAAGGATTCCCTATTTAACAAACGGTGCTGGGAAAAATGGCTAGCTATATGTAGAAAGCTGAAACTGGATCCCTTCCTTACACCTTATACAAAAGTTAATTCAAGATGGATTAAAGGCTTACATGTTAGACCTAAAACCAAAAAAACCCTAGAAGAAAACCTAGGCAATACAATTCAGGTCATAGGCGTGGGCAAGGACTTCATGTCTAAAACACCAAAAGCAATGGCAACAAAAGACAAAATTGACAAATGGGATCTAATTAAACTAAAGAGCTTCTGCACAGCAGCAGAAACTACCATCAGAGTGAACAGGCAACCTACAGAATGGGAGAAAATTTTTGCAATCTACTCATCTGACAAAGGGCTAATATCCAGAATCTACAATGAACTCAAACAAATTTACAAGAAAAAAAACAAACAATCTCATCAAAAACTGGGCAAAGGATATGAACAGACACTTCTCAAAATAAGACATTTATGCAGCCAACGGACACATGAAAAAATGCTCATCATCACTGGCCATCAGAGAAATGCAAATCAAAACCACAATGTATCATCTCACACCAGTTAGAATGGCGATCATTAAAAAGTCAGGAAACAACAGGTGCTGGAGAGGATGTGGAGAAATAGGAACACTTTTACACTTTTGGTGGGACTGTAAACTAGTTCAACCATTGTGGAAGACGGTGTGGAGATTCCTCAGGGATCTAGAACTAGAAATACCATTTGACCCAGCCATCCCATTACTGGGCATATACTCAAAGGAATATAAATTATGCTGCTATAAAGACACATGCACACTTATGTTTATTGCGGCACTACTCACAATAGCAAAGACTTGGAACCAACCCAAATGTCCAACAATGATAGACTGGATTAAGAAAATGTGGCAGATATACACCATGGAATACTATGCAGCCATAAAAATGATGAGTTCATGTCCTTTGTAGGGACATGGATGAAGCTGGAAACCATCATTCTCAGCAAACTATCACAAGGACAGAAAACCAAACACCGCATATTCTCACTCATAGGTGGGAATTGAACAATGAAAACACTTGGACACAGGAAGGGGAACATCACACACCGGGGCCTGTTGTGGGGTGGGGGGATGGGGGAGGGATAGCATTAGGAGATACACCTAATGTAAATGACGAGTTACTGGGTGCAGCACACCAGCATGGCACATGTATACATATGTAACAAACCTGCATGTTGTGCACATGTACCCTAGAACTTAAAGTATAATAAAAAAATAAAAAATAAATAAATAAACATTTACATGAAATTGACTTTATTGTCATGACTTAAGATCCACTTTAATATTTTACTTTGATTCACATTGTATATTGTTTCAGATTCTTCCTTTGCTTCCTCATCTTGGACAAATAATTCTCAGTAGAATATTTCAGTTCTCTTTTTATATTTGAATTTTTAACTCATATTTAAGAAAAAGTTTGACCTGATTATATACAGAGGAAGTTTTGGGCTACTAAATTAATTATAAAATGTTTATTAGTCTCAGGGCTGATTTTGTCTTTCTGCTCTCACTTTTGTTTCATAAAATTTTTAAAAGGACATGAAAACAGCAAAACATATTGCACAAATATTGCATGTAGATGAATTAGGTGACACCACCACACCACAATGAATAACCTGTAGCATTTTTTGGTAATGCTTCAAAATGTCTATTTATCAGCTGGTGAACGCATAATTAGCTTAGTAAGTTATCAGAAACTAACCAATACATGAACTGTAGAATTGTGCGGTTGATAAAAGGTTAATACAATATAGCTCATGGCATAGCATAAAATTTTGGTTATTAAATGAGCAAAAGACACTGAATATATAGTACAATAATTGTTATGCAATCTTTCAGTACATGTACAAATAAGCAATAAATGAACAAAGGAAAATAATTAGGAAAAATTATAATTTTAAAATAACGACAGTTTTGAATTGTGTTCATTTACTTTTATGAATCTTGTTACCTTCTGATTCTTTTCTAATTAATTGTTTTACTTCTATAATAGTATCATACTGTTAAAATTTATTTTTTAATTTATTATTTTTCAGTATTTATTAAAAATAAATCAAAATAATTTATTATTTATGATTATGATTTTTAATTATTTTTAATAATTGTGAAATTAAAATTGCACAATTAAATATTTAAAAATTTAATTGTGAAAAATGTATTATTCCATCTTTGATGGTGTCAGTCATAGAGTAACTATTTTTTCTGGAAATGCCTTCTCCACCACCCCTGTAAAATATTGAGAACATCACAAGAAAACACCAAGATAGGCTACATTTAGTCCTTGAACTTTTGTGCTTGGAAACATGCCAAACAATCTGCCTTGGCAAATGGTCCCCAGGGCCTACCAAAAGGTGCATTGTCATCAGCCTCTGGTATATGAGATCCTCTGGAATTATCCAAGTGAGAGGGAAAGAATAATCTCCTTGTGGTCACAGTAGCTGCTGGTCTTCTTTGACAAATAACTTCTTGGTAATCTTTCCATTAGACCAGAACCTAAACAAAATTTCTAGATTGGTTTATTTTAACTCAGAATAAAACATAATGAATACACCAAAATGTAAAAACAACTTATCTCAAGTAAAATAAATATTATAAAAAATTCATTTCCTCAGTTTTCATATTTTATTTATAACAAAAATTTGAGGTTGACAAATTTCCAGACAGATAATATAAGAAGAAACCTTTTTAATGAATGTTGACTCACACACAGTAAGTATTATTCTCAAAATTGGAAGATATTGTTCCAGATTTTATTTCAGATGGAATAAAATGCAGACTTTATCAGAATAATATATTAATACATACACATATCATTTAGTCTTTACCCTAAGTAATGTCAAGGTTTTTGAAACAAATGTAGAGTTGACAGAATCAGAGTCTACAAGCAAAGTATATACTTTGAAAATATAATTTTTGGAAGAAATTAGATTTTGATTAGTTAAGTCAGGAAAACATTACGTATTTTATAAATTAATGCTTATATATTGTCTATAATTTTAATGTAGCTAACTAAAATCCCCAAGGGTGAAATTTATTGGAAATTATTATTAAATAATATTGGAAACAAAAGGGGAGTAAATGATATAATAAAACGGTTTCCTGTCATTTTTTATTACATGTCTAGCTCTTTTCTCAAGTTTTCTGAAATTATTTATAAACAAGAGTATAGTATTATAAGCCGTCTCTCTGAAGTTAATATATCTTGGTAGAATCAGTGTCAACATTGAATAGATCCGACTTTGAATAAGTTACTCCAACCTTCCATACTCTTTTTTTCCTCACCTAAACTATGTGGATAATAGTAGTATCTAAGGTATACTATTTTCAGGTGGATTCAATGTGTTAATAAAGGAAGTCATTCAGAACAATGTCAGGTTCATTCTAATTATGCAATATGCTACATGCTACACTTTATTGTAACATATGCAAATGTTAATTTGTACTTACATCAATATTGGCAATAAAATTAGTTTCTTTAGTCATATTCTATAAATTTATTAGCAACTTATAGAAGGCTAAGCTAATTTTTAAATGATATGCCATTCATATAAACAGAAAGTTTTTTTTTGTTTGTTTTTTGTTTTTTGAGTCAGAGTCTGGCACAGTCGCCAGGGCTGGAATGCAATGGTGCGATCCCGGCTCACTGCAACCTCCGCCTCCCGCGTTCAAGCAATTCTCCTGCCTCAGCTTCTCCAGTAGCTGGGATTACAGGCGCCCCTGCTACGTATCAGCTTTGATTTCTCAGCAGTTTAGAGCAGGTGAACATGATGGGTAGAAGGAATAACACAAATGTGGCTGACTTCATCCTTATGGGACTGACACTTTCTGAAGAGATCCAGATGGCTCTGTTTATGCTATTTCTCCTGATATACCTAATTACTATGCTGGGGAATGTGGGGATGATATTGATAATCCGCCTGGACCTCCAGCTTCACACTCCCATGTATTTTTTCCTTACTCACCTGTCATTTATTGACCTCAGTTACTCAACTGTCGTCACACCTAAAACCTTAGCGAACTTACTGACTTCCAACTATATTTCCTTTACGGGCTGCTTTGCCCAGATGTTCTTTTTTGCCTTCTTGGGTACTGCTGAATGTTACCTTCTCTCCTCAATGGCCCATGATCGCTATGCAGCGATCTGCAGTCCTCTACACTACACAGTTATTATGTCCAAAAGGCTCTGCCTCGCTCTCATCACTGGGCCTTATGTGATTGGCTTTATAGACTCCTTTGTCAACGTGGTTTCCATGAGCAGATTGCATTTCTACGACTCAAACGTAATTCATCACTTTTTCTGTGACACTTCCCCAATTTTAGCTCTGTCCTGCACTGATACATACAACACCGAAATCCTGATATTCATTATTGTTGGTTCCACCCTGATGGTGTCCCTTTTCACAATATCTGCATCCTATGTGTTCATTCTCTTTACCATCCTGAAAATTAATTCCACTTCAGGAAAGCAGAAAGCTTTCTCTACTTGCGTCTCTCATCTCTTGGGAGTCACCATCTTTTATAGCACTCTGATTTTTACTTATTTAAAACCAAGAAAGTCTTATTCCTTGGGAAGAGATCAAGTGGCTTCTGTTTTTTATACTATTGTGATTCCCGTGCTGAATCCACTCATTTATAGTCTTAGAAACAAAGAGGTGAAAAATGCTGTCATCAGAGTCATGCAGAGAAGACAGGACTCCAGGTAATTAATATAGCAGGAATGCTGAACATTTAAACTCATCTTTTCTTTCATTCCTGTTGGGTATTTTCTTAGTCTCTCTATAAAAACAATTGAATCTTTTAATTTGTTTGCATTTCTGTTGTGCTACCCTTTGCTTCACTAAACATGATTTTAAACATTTCAAGGCATATGTTTTTAGAAATCCAAATGGTAATTAGAAATCATAATATGTGTGTCATGTTTTCAGTCTACATATATGTGTTTGAAGCAACTGATGTGGAAAATAAGAAAATATGGTTGTCATTTTTAATTATATTATTCAAATTCTTATGTATACTTCAATTGTAGATAAATTTATTATGGAAAGAACTATTTGGGACACAATGATAATAGTTTTAGATGTTATTCCATTTATTATATGGGGAAGAATTATAGCAGAGTGGGTAGGAGTACCTATTTTGGAATAAAACTTCCCAAGAATTAGATTCTAAATATGCTACATTTTTAGCTGTATAGCCAGTAATACGTTACCTAAAGCTTAAGCCTCCCTTCCCTAAGTGCACAAGATAAATAATAACTCCAAATCTGATCAGAGGGTAGTTGTAGAGTATTTAAAGCAATAATAATTAATGCTTCCCATTATCATTAGAAGACCTACATTACTGCACAAAGCCTTTTTTCAAGAATGTAAACTTGTGTTTAACAAATTATTTTTGGTTAATTTAATTGACAGAACTAAAAAGAACAAAAATCAGCAGCTCACAATTTTGGATTTCAGAAGCAAAATATTTCAGTAGAATTAAGTTATAGAAAAATAGCCTATATTAAGATAATGTTGGAGAAAATTTGAAAAATATTACAAAATATTGAAGAAAATAGAAATCCTCTACAAATATTGAGTTTTGGCTGCTCTTGATGTGGGGGTAGCCATTATTCTTTTCTTTACTTCTCTAATAAACCCATTTTCAGTTTTAGAAAAACAAATATTGAGTTTTGTGCATGTTCTTCTAGATCAATAGTTTCAAATATGTGCATGTATATAACACATATAAACAAAATTTGTATCACTTTCCATGTACTGATTTTCAGCTTTCTGTATCCATTTACAAGTTTAATGTTGTCATCGACAACTCTAATATAAATTTTTTCTTGGTACATGGACAAAATCAAGACTCACTTCACAATGTTTTGGACTTGAAATATAAACTCACCAACTTACAAATCTACATGCAGTGATATCTCTTTTGCGTGCAAAACTTCAAAAACTGGATTTCTGTAATGTGTCAAATGTGTCAAATTGCTTCTTTGTTAAAATCCTGTGTGTTTTTAAAAATCATTGCCTTTCTCCTGATTTCTACAGGTTTGTTTCAGTTGTAAAAATAACTCCTTGACTTAAATGCTTTATTCATTGATTTTAAATTTCTTAATACAGAAAAGTTGTAAAGCAAAGAATTGATAATGAATTCAGATGTTGTAACAGCCCACAAATTTAGTCAGGCAGAGTGCTAAAATGTCTTTTATTTTTAAATTTTTCTCTTCCATATCTGGAATCACAGTTTTGTTTTTCTCTGCTATTTAATGGATATTTTAGAAGCTAGTTTTTATTTTCCAAGTATTTGTCTTTTCTGTTTACACTTTTGTAACAGTTATTAGTTTTCATTCAAGCAATACTTTTTTAATCTTGTGAAATTTGTTATCTTCGTACAATTATATTTGATTTCTTCTAAGTGCATTTTGAATGTTTAAAATGGACTGTAACCTCTATTTTAGGAGTTACTATTTTAATGAAATTTCACTAATGCAAACTGTCAACTAATTTATTCACTTCATTTAAATACATACCATTTCCTCTACTTTATTATTTCAAAATTTTGCTTATCAAATATTAATACCATATAAAATTATTATGATTTAGTTTTTCCTTTGATATCCATGTTGTCCAGAATATATATTTATAGGTCCCCCTATTTGTTTTCTTTTGCAATTAGAAATAAGTATTTAATCAACATTTATTAGTTAATAATATGTCTTTGACTCATTCTCATCTTATAAATGCATAATATAATTTTATGTATTTACAGGCTCTTTCCATTTTTCTAATCATTTTTATAAGCTATGGTTTTATCTTGCTTTCATTTACGTCTACTTCTATGATTTGGAAAATGTGTCCTATCAATTTGGGTTGCAAAGATGGTCAACAGAATCTATCACTTTGTAGACAACACTTAGGCTAAGACGTTGCTTAAATTCTAATTTAATGAAGACTACCTTATCATCTTTATAATATAAGCTAAAACATATTTAAATAATATTATTAAAAAAACATACAATAATCTATGTGCAATATGAAAGATTTACATTGTTCGAATTTTACCTATAATTTCCCTATTAGTGTATAGTATATTTTATATCGGATATTGTCTAAAGTAATTTAAGACATTGTCCTCTGGTTCATAGTGTCATATACAAATGCTATATAACATAAATATGAAGAAAACTGTAATTCAGCATAGCAAAATATGAACAGCTATTTTTACTTCCAAATAATATGGCAAGATGAAAATAGTAACAATATATTTTTCTGAGCACTTACCATTGTCAGGCAATATTCAAAGGGCTTTATATATAAGTAATTAACATAATTTATGATTATAATTTAACTGTCAGATCAGCACTAGCAATATATAAAGTTTAGGCACACATTAGTGGAAAACCACCTTTTGCTTGTTCAAGCAAAGACTTAAGTTAAATTAACTTGGAATTTCCTTTTTATCGAACACACTTTATTTCCATTCCATCAGCATATTAAGGTGATTCTAAATATAGACTATATTTGGTGTCTACTTAAGCATTTGTTTCGCTACCATTCTGGCCCAGATAACTATCAGTTTCAGAATTATTGCTGCAGTACTGTAGCATGCACCTAATTTTATTCTTATTCTTCTTGAGTCATAGCTTAATGTAGGAGCCAGAGTTATACTGCTAAACAGTAGGTTGGATCATACATTTTCTTCACAAACCCTACACAATATTTCATCACAATAAGAATAAAAGCCAAGAGGTTTATAAGTGCTCATTGGTTAAAAAATGATTTCCTCAATTCTTAAATCTATGAACTCCTTTCTTATTATCCATCTGTCACGCTCACTTTGTTTCTACTCCATGACCTCCCAGCTCTTCTCTCTAAGCAATAGTACAAACACTGCCTGAAGTTTTTCCATTTTTCTCTTCTTCCTGAAACTTCTTTCCCACAAATAACTGCATGATGGTTTTTCTTATCCTTTTCTTAACAAGAGAACTCCTTGCCACCCTATTAAAACTAATACATTTCACACCCTCTTTCAAACCTTCATTTGTGTTTCATAGCAGTTATTCTCATCTGACATTCTATATATTTTTCTTGTGTCTTTTATTTTGTGTTTGTTTTCCCCTATGATCATGTAAGCTCTATGAGCAGAGAACTTTCCCCCATCACCTAGAGCAGGACAGATAAAACTTTAATCGTGAATATAAATCCTTTCATTCTAGAACTTTCTGATTTTCTCAAAAGTACATATTTGGATTTAAGATTTTTTTAAATTTCGCTGATTTATTTTTACATGCCTATACGATGGCCTCATCTTTCTCTCACCCTTTGCCAAAAGTCAAACAGTTCATCTCCCATTTCCTTTTGGAAGGGTCTTGTCTCTGCTTGGAATTGAGATTATTTAGACGAATGCAACCTTAGCTCCAAGATAGACTCACAAAAATTATGATTTTTATAGATTAACTGGATTGTTTTAAATAGGGTGGGAGCAAGTTCTTTGTAACGTTATACAGCTTATGTGGAAATAAAAGCTCTACATACCCTTTAAAACTTATCCATTGATATGACTTCAAATATGGCCCCTCTAGGTAAATCCACACTTACCTGTGCAATATCTCATTCTGCACCTTGAAAATGTAATGGAATCTCATAATCCATCCAGATATAACATCTACTCTTCTCTTACATTGTTTATTTGCTTCTGTTTTTTTTCTCTCCTTTTTTTCTTCCTTTCTTTTTTTTTTTTTTTTTGGTCTTTCTTATTGATCACTGATGCCTCAAACCTGTAAACTATTTACATCCCAATGAACAGAATCAATGAACAAGTTTTGTAGAAACCACTTATCCAATATTTTCAAGTGCATTATTTTTCTCTCTTACTTCTGTCATTGGCTGTATGAAAACTCTTAATGTTTCCAAAAGTGTTGTCCAGAGGCAGAAAAATTAAGTTGGAAAAGTAAAAAGATCAGTCAATTATTTCACTCTCTATATAACAAACTTTAAAAAGGGAATTCTGTAGCTAGGCAAATTAGGTTTGAATCCTCACATTGCTCTTAAGGACCATTCTTTTTGGCTTCTCAGTGTAGCATTCCTTTTCCTTAGTATAGGACAGGACTCTTCTGGAATGTGGGTCTCTGACCTACTTTCAGACAACATAGATCAGAGAATTTCTTTACGATGAGCGCGTCCACAGAAAATCAGGGGAAGGTCAGAGTGATGTTTTTAGGTTTATTTTGTCTTGCTTTGAAGAAAGGAATTCTATGTTCTATGACCCACCTTGGGGAAGAGAAACTGTAGTTTTTAAGGCTTGCCTTGGGAGAAAAGGGGAAGCAGAAGAAAGGAACGTAGAAGAAGGTAAACGCAACAACAACAACAACGAAAAACCTAGATTCTGAAGTCCTTACAGTTTCATTAGGTTCAAAGCCCTCAGCATGCCAAGCTACCATACTTCAAGGTATAGTGTTCTGAGCCCCAACATTTCCCCCATCTGAAACTTTTTTGACTGTTTCAAAAATTCAGAGGTGAGCTAGTGGATGTGGAGAGGAGAACCAGGTTAGAATATAAGTAGCAAAACACCTGCAAAGGGGCAGAAGATATATACTGTATGGATAATTAACAAACAGAAGAGAACAAATCTAGCACACTGAACAATCTAAGCACATAAGAACAAATCTAACTTACTCTTTGACTCACCATTCAGTCAGTAAATATTTTTGTCAATAAACTATATTTTCTATGTGCTCTTTTATACCCTAAAGATATAATTCTAATATCAAACAAACACAATACCTGTATTCATGAAAGTTACAATGTCACCACACTGGTAGATGTAGATACTAATCAAACACAACAAAAAATAATAAAAATGATTAAGTGATAAGAAAGAGAGGCCCCATGGGGATAGGATAAGTCAAAAGGTATTTTTGAGAGAAAAGTAATAGAGCTGAGTTATGTGGAGTGAAATTTTATTAACTTGAGATTTAAATATAACACTCTTCCATAGTGGTCTGAACAAATAGAAGATCATGAGAGATTGTTTATACCCACAATTTGGTTTCAAGTATAGTAGAATAAAAAGGACACTAGTAGAATTTTCATGCAGGTTAATTGGATGTTGATTCTTGATGATTTTTTGGTGTATTTTCAATTTGATATTTTTAGACATAAATGAGGTTATTCTCATCCCTCATACTCACTTCTTCCTTTGCCAAAGAATGATTATTTTTGTTAATTTGAAAAAGCAACACAATCAATAAACTGGATGACAACCTTGACTAAAGCATTTTTTTAACAATTTTGAAACCCAGATTTGAGTGGTCGATGCCTAAAAACGATCCTGGAATACTGCCAAATAGTTGAATTTTGTAAGAGACAAATAGTTAGAAGCACACTGAGGCAGATAATTTCCTTCTTCCAGAAAACTCTCCTTAAGGGATTATAAACCAAAAAGTAAATTTTAAGATGCTATGGCTGCAAACAGCATGCCTCTTTTTATAAGATAAAATCTTGTCTATAATATAGTTACTGATGCGTCTCTGCAAATTGGTTTGCCATTTTTAGAGGAATTTTGAGTGTATATTCTTCTCTCTAGTCTTTACTTATTCCAATAGAGAAATATGTGTTCTCTTTGTGTAATTGATCAGAAAGATAAGAATCTGATGTACTGAAAATTATTATCTTGGATTTCGAACTCACACTTATGAATTCACTCTAAAACGGACCATTGCTTTGATTACTATATTCTAATATATTTTTTCTCTGGCTGAATATCAGGACAATCAATCACCCCTTTGGAAAGAGACAATGTTTTACTAAAAAAAAACCCGTAACTATCCATTCTTCATGTTAAACTATCTGGAACAAAAATAAGTAAGGCAGAATGAATAAAGCAGAAGAAGGTGTGAGTTTAAGTAAAGTAAGCTTGCTTCTGGGTTCTGGGCCTTGTTTATTGGGTTTAAAATGCAAGGCCATGTGGGCTTTGGGAGGGCATGATTTGAACTCAGTGCTACTATGACACAGAGGAAAGTAACACTGGCCATAGTTAAGCCTGATTCCAAGGAGGGCACATTTAGACCAGCTCTAGCCAAGGTGAATCATCCATGCCAGCAGCTGGAACTTGGGTTCTGGGAAACCTCACCATCTTGGGCTAAAAGGGTCCTGGACTTCTAACTAAACATAAAAGGCAGTCTAGGCTACAAAGGACTGCAACTCCTAGGCAAGTCCTAGTGCTGTGCTGAGCTCACAACCAGTTGACTTGGGAGGCATGTGACCCAGTCAGACACCAGCTAGGGTAGCTAAACGACTACTTGTGCTGCATAAAATAGAGTCAAATGATGGCTTATACTAGCGCCGACATCAAAAAAGAAGAAAAACTTCAAATAAAAGACTCAACAATGTGTCTTAAAGAACTGGAAAAGAATGAACAAACCAAAGCTGAAATTAGTAGAAGAAAATAAAAAATAAAGATTAGAGCAGAGGCCGGGTACGGTGGCTCACGCCTTTAATCCCAGCACTTTGGGAGGCCAAGGCGGGAGGATCACGAGGTCAGGAGATCGAGACCATCCTGGCTAAGACAGTGAAACCCCTTCTCTACTAAAAATACAAAAAATTAGCAGGGTGTGGTGGCGGGCGCCTGTAGTCCCAGCTACTCAGGGGGCTGAGGCAGGAGAATGGCATGAACCCAGGAGGCGGAGCTTGCAGTGAGCTGAGATCGCGCCACTGCACTTGACAGGGCGAGACTCCGTCTAAAGATTAGAGCAGAAATGAATGAAATTTACAAAAGAAAAAAATACAAAAGATCCATAAAAAATTCCATGTAGCCATAAAAAAGACGGAGATTATGTCCTTTGCAGGGACATGAATGAAGTTGGAGGCCATTATCCTTAGCAAACTAACAGTAACAGAAAACCAAATACTACATGTCCTTACTTCTAAGTGGGAGCTAAATGATGAGAACACATGAACACATGGAAGGGATTGACAGACACTTGGATCTATCAGAGAGTGGCGTGTGGGAGGAGAGAGCTCAGGAAAAATAACTAATGGGTACTAGGCTTAATACCTGGGTGATAAAATAATCTGTATGACAAACCCCCATGACACAAGTTTACCTATGTCACAAACCTGACATGTATCCCTGAACTTAATATAAATTTTTTTAAATAAAAAAAGTCTTCAAAACAACAACAAAGAAAATGTGAAAAAATTTGACAAACATGTAGCCACACTAAGAAACAATTCTATATCTAGAGAACTCCATAGTCTTGGCCCAAAAGCTCCTTCAGCTGACAAACAACTTCAGCATTTTCAGGATAAAAAAACCAATGTATAAAAATCACCAGCATTTCTATACACCAAACAGTTAAGCCAAGAACCAAATCAGGAACACAATCCCACTCACAATTGCCAAAAAGAATAAAATACCTAGAAATACAGCTAACCAGGAATATGAAACAGTTCTATAATGAGAATTATAAAACACTGCTCAAAGAAATCAAAGATGACACAAATAGAAAAATATTTCATGGTCATGGATAGGAAGAATCAATATCATTGATATAGCCACTCTGCCCAAGTCAATTGACAGACTCAATGCTATTCCTATCAAACTACCAATGACTTTCTTCACAGAACTAGAAAAAAACTATTGTAAGATTAACATGGATCCAAACAGAGCCCAAATAGTCAAGGCAATGCTAAACCAAAAGAACAAAGCTGGAGGCATCACATTCCCCAACTTTAGAATACACTACAGGGCTACAATAACCAAAACAGCATGGTATAGGCACAAAAACAGGTACATAGACCAATGGAACAGAATAAAGAAGCCAGAAATAAGGCAACAAATTTACAGTGATCTGATCTTTGACAAAGTTGACAGAAACAAGCAATGGGGAAACGACTCAATATTCAATAAATGCTGCTGGGATAACTGGCAGCCATATGCAGAAGATTGAAACTGGACCTTTTTCTTACACTACATACAAAATTTAACTCAAGATGGATTAAAGACTTAAATGTAATCCCAAAACTATAATAAAACCTAAATCACAACCAAGGCAATACTATTCTGGGGATAGGAATGGGTAAAAATTTCATGATGAAGACACCAAAAGCAACCAAAACAAAAGCAAAAATTTACAAGGGATCTAATTAAACTAAACAGCTTCTGCACAGCAAAAGAAACTATCAACAGAGTAAATAGACAACCTACAAACTGGGAGAAAATTTTTGGAATCTATGCAACTGACAAAGGTCTAATATCCAGCATCTATAAGGAGCTTAAACAAATTTACAAGAAAAAAAAACCCATTAAAAAGTGGACAAAGGACATGAACAGATACTTTTTAAAAAAAGACATACATGCAGCCAATAAATATATGAATAAAAGCTCAATATCACCAATCGCTGGAGGTATGAAAATCAAAACTACAATGAGATACCACCTCACACCACTGGGAATGGCTATTATTATTATTTTAACATTTAAGTTCAGGGGTACATGTGCAGGTTTGTTACATAGGTAAACTTGTGTCATGGGGATTTGTCGTACAGATTATTTTATCACCCAGGTATTAAGCCTAGTACCCATTAGTTATTTTTCCTGATGCTCTCCCTTCTCCCACTCTCCACCCTCAGACAGGCTCCAGTGTGTGTTGTTCCCCTCTGTATGTCCATGTGTTCTTCTCATTCAGCTCCCTTTCCTTAGCAAACTGATCCAGAAACAGAAAAACAAATACCACATGTTCTCACTTACTGGTGAGAACAGCTATTATTAAAAAATCCAAACAATAACAGGTGCTGGTGAGGTTATGGAGAAAAGGGAATACTGATACACTGTTGGTTGGAGTGTAGTTCAACCATTGTGGAAAGCAGTGTGGTGATTCCTCAAAGACCTAAAAATAGAACTACACTTTGACCCAGCAATCCTATTACTGGGTATATACTCAAAGAATATAAATTATTCTATCATAAAGACACATGCCTGTGAATGTTCACTGCAGCACTATTCACAATAGCCAAAGCATAAAAATCAACCCAAATGCCCATCCACGACAGACTAAATAAATGTGATGCATGTTCACCATGGAATACTATGCAGCTATGAAGAACAAGATCGTGTCTTTTGTGGGAACATGGATGGAGCTGCAGAGTATTATCTTAAGTGAAATAGCACAGTAACAGAAAACCGAATACCACATGTTATCACTTATAGGTGGGGGTAAACACTGAGTACATGTGGAACCAAAGAAGGTAACAGCAGACACTGGGGCTTACTTGAGGGTGGAAGGTGGAAGAAGGGTAAAGAGGGAAAGGTATCAGTCAAGCGCTGTACTTATTATCTGGGTGACAAAATAATCTATACACCAAACCCCAGTGTCCTGAAATTGATCTATATAACAAACCTGCACATACACCTCTGAACCTAAAATGAAAGTTAAAAACTATAAAAATAAAAAATACATTCATGTACTAATGACAAAAAGCCCCAGAATATTCGACATCAAAACTGACAGATAAGAAAGGAAAAAACATAATTTAACTTTCAATTTTAAAATCAGTCTTAATAATTGAGAGAACAAATAAAGAAGAAAAGAGCAATATTATAGAGGACTTGAACAGCACTCTCCTCCAGTTTGAGCCGATTAAAATCAATGACACAATTATTAATCAAACAATACTGAACAACAATTTTTCAGGTAGGCTTTCTCAGAATTGGCACTATTAACATTCCGGATTGAGTAATTTTTTTGTGTGAGGGGCTGTCTTGTGAATATTGGATTATTTTGCAGCTTAAGTGACATCTACCCTCTAGATAGCAGTAACATTGTTCAAACCACCTCATCATCATGAAATCAACAATATTTGCAGACATTGACTAATGATTTCCAGTGGGAAAACTTACTTCTGGTCAAAACCACTGCTTTAAAGTTTATTGTAATTTAATTGGAAAATATTATTCAACTTAATTTGGAGTATATTATTTGAATTTAATTGGAAATATTTTGTTAAGCTACCATTATCACTATATTATTAAAGTGCTCCAATAATCTTTAAACTTGGTGTTCTGGATGCCTTTACTTCTATGTATTCTTGACAAGTACATAGTTGTGCAGCTATCAGATGAGATAATCAATTTTAAAAATATACATATTTTTATGTGAGCAATAGCATTTGATGTAAATTGTTATGCTACCTTCTGCATGTAATTGTAATTCTTTGCTTACAAAGAACATAGAGAATTATGTCACTTTACAGTGAGCAGATCTTTATTGGTTGACAACTAAGATAGATATGAATTTTATTAACAGAGAGAAAACAGATCATAAGGAAGGCACGCTTTTGTTTTTTTGAAGTTTGTTTCTTAATTTTATGAGCAAAATAATGCCTGTTTTCTATTGACCATGACTTTCCTCAGGGCAATGTCACATCCTTGTTCCTGGGGCTCCAGATCAATGGGTTTAACATGGGAATGACTACTGTGTAGAAGACAGAGGCCATCCTGTCTGTGTCAAGAGAATTTTCTGAGCATTAAGTACATAAGGAACAGTCTTCCATAGAGCATCGATGATACAGAGGGTCAATAAGAGAGGCAAAAGTTGAGGATAATGTAAAAGTGTCATCAGGAAGCTGTAGTATTAGTGTAGCATGGCTAGGAATTTGCACAGATATCTGCCTCTTAAAGTAGGGGAAGAGGAGGATGGGTAGAAAAACTATCAAAAATTAATAGCTAAAGACAACAGATACAAAAGAAAAAAATACATTTTAGGAAATAATGTACAGAAATATTCATATTATAAAATATAAACATATTAGAGAACTAAATATTCATATTATAAAATATAAACATATTAGAGAACTATATAACTTTTATAATTTATTCATGGCAATGAATGCCTCTAAAAAGCCAAAGATAGTCAGAACCCAGTATATTTTTTGCTTACTCAATTTTTACTAAAATAAAGTGATACAAAACATTAGAACAAAGCACTAATTTTATAGAACATTGTATTTACTCTTCCATTTCCCTGAAACTCACTTTCTCCAGGTATTTTTTATGGCTCTCTATTTCACTTATTTCGGTATGGGCCTATCACTGAAGACTTTCTTGGAAATTTTTTTTTTCTCTTTTTTTTGACAAAGAGTCTTGCTCTGTTGCCCAGGCTGGAGTGTAGTGGTGTGATCTTGGCTCACTGAAAGCTCCACCTCCTGGGTTCACACCATTCTCCTGCCTCAGCGTCTGGAGTAGCTGGGACTACAGTCACCCACCACCACACCCAGCTAATTTTTTGTATTTTTAGTAGCGACGGGGTTTCACCCTGCTAACTAGGATGGTCTTGATCACCTGACCTCGTGATCCACCAGCCTCGGCCTCCCAAAGTGCTAGGTTTACAGGCATGAGCCTCCACGCCCGGCCGGCAATTATTTTTTATAAAGGAAAGCTCAAAAGTCCCCATGCACTATCTCCAGTTTTCTTCACAGCACTCTTACCACATAGTCCTGCTTGTTATTCCTTCAACTACCTGGTCTATCCTCTTCACAGGTCCTTCACCCTAATGATCCATCCGTGTGGAACACATTCCCACCCCGTACCTATATGACTAACTCTTCCCTCCTTCAAGTCTTTGCTGAACTGTCACCTTTTCATTGAGATAAACCTTCTCCTCCATTTTGGTTGCTTCCTCACGCCCCTGTTTCTGAACACTCCTCCCATCTTTTATGCTGTTTTACATTTCCTTTATTTTATTTATAGTACATTTCACCTTCTGATATGTTTAATCACTCATTTTTGTATTTATTTCTGTTTGCCCCACTGAGAATTTATAATCTACAAATACTGTAATAGAAAAAGCCAGACTTGCATATTGACATTTGGATCTTTCTTTCCCAGAATCTATGAGTAATTTATACCAGTTGATTAAAAGTAATTTATAAATTTACAAGGCTTAAAGCAGTCATAACCACAATGCAATTCAATAAAAAATAAATATTGGCTGGACACAGTAGCTCACACCTGTAATCCCAGCACTCGGGGAGGCTGAGGCAGGAAGATCAGTTGAGGTCAGGAGTTCGAGACCAACCTGGCCACCATGGTGAAACCCCATCTCTACTAAAAATATACAAAAATAAGTGGGACATGGTGGGTGTGCCTGTAGTCCCAGCTACTCAGGAGGCTGAGGCAGAAGAATTGTTTGAACCCTGAAGGCAGAGGCTGCAGTGAGTCAAGATTGTGCCACTGCACTTCAGCCTGGGCAACAGAGCAAGACTCCAAATAAATAAATAAATAAATAGTAAAAATAATTTAAAATTTTAAATTTTAATTAAAAATTTTAAAAAATTAGAATCATAAATTTACTATGATTTTAATAACTTAATAACTAAGCATAGCTGAGGTTAATCTTAGTCAAATAAGAAACGAAACATTTAACTTTAGACTATTTATATAATATGCCACAATAGAAATAATTCAGATCACTATGTATACAGGTGAAGAGTGACACCAGGATGGATAATGCAAATATTAAATTCTGATAATATTAAACAGGTAACCATAAGAAAATACTTTTACTAGGTGGTGGAGAAAAAAATAATGAACCCAACCTGATAAAGTAGGGGAAAAAAATGTTAAAATAAGAATAACTAAAATAACTAACGAATAAACAAATTAATAAGTATTTGAACAAAATATATCAGAAAAGTAATTTTTTTAACTGAGCCAAAGATTAAAAAAAATAATAAACATATTCCAGAAGAGAGAGAGAGATAGAGAGAGAATAGAAGAGGATAAGAAACATAGTTTAAAATATAAAGGCCAGGCACTGTGGCTCACAACTATTATCCCAGCCCTTAGCGAGGCCTAGGCAGGAGATACCTTGAACCCAGGAATTCAAGACAAGCCTGGACAACATAGGGAGACCTCTACAAAGACTACAAAAAATTAGCTGAGCCTGGTGGCGAGTTCACCTGTAGTCCCAGCTACTTGGGAGGATGAGGCAGGAGGATCTCTTGAGCCCAGGAGGTGGACGTTACAATGAGCCAAGATAGCACAACTGCACTTCAGCCTGGGCAAAGTGAGACTCTGTGTCTAAATAAATAAATAAATCATAAAAAGTATAACTAGCTAGGACATTACATTATTTCATCATTTAAATTGAAAGAGATTTAAAATCTCTGGTCAGAATTAGGTTTCAGCAATGATTTAGTAAATGGGAAAATAATTTTCCTGCCATGATAAACAACTCTGAACCTGAACAAAATGGTTTTCAATGTTAGAAAAACATCAAGCAAGAAAATCCCTTGCTCTCGGAGATTTTACGATCACCAAGCCTATTGAGGTAGTTTTGACATAGTCACCTTTTGCCTCTTATTTGGCTTAAACCCTAATGTTATCTATTGTTAAAGAGTGTGATGCTGGCTTTTAAATATTCAAATCAACCTGTCTCAGGAGCACTAAATTTCTGGTGAATAGAATCGCTCTTCCCAAAACTCATCAAAGGTACAATAAATACATACAAATGTAGCGCTTTATACCTACCAACAGATTATCTCCTGAAATTCTAGATTATGGGCATGCTTTCCTTCTAGACTCACTTTAAAATTTACATAAAATTGATTTTTTTATAATGACTTAAGATTCACTTTAATATTTTACTCTGTTTCACATTTTATATTGTTTCAGAATCTTCCCTTGCTTCCTCATCTTGGACAAATAATTCTCAGTAGAATATTTCAGCTCTCTTTTTATATTTTAATTTTAACTCATATTTAAGGAAAAAATTGACCTGACTATACATGGAGGAAGTATGTTTTGGGCTACTAAATTAATTATAAAATGTTTATTAGTCTCATGGCTGATTTTGTTTTTCTGCTCTCACTTTTGTTTCATAAAATTTTAAAAAGTACATGAAAACAGCAAAACATAGTGCACAAATATTGCATGTAGATGAATTAGGTGACACCACCACACCAGAATGAATAACCTACACCACTTTCTGATAATGCTTCAAAATGTCTGTTTATCAGCTCGTAAACACATAGTTAACTTAGTAAGTTACGGGGCACTAACCAATACATGAACCGTAGAATTGTGTGGTTGATAAAAGGTTAATATAAGATAGCTCATGGCATAGCATAAAATTTTGGTTATTAAATGAGCAAAAGACACTGACTGTATAGTACAATAATTGTTATGCCATCTATAAGTACATGTACAAATAAGGCACAAAGGAAAATAATTAGGAAAAATTATAATGTTAACAAAATGTTAACGACAGTTTTGAATTGTTTTCATTTACTTTTTTTGAATTTTGTTATCTTCTGATTCTTTTCCAATTAACATGGTTTACATATACGATAGTATCGCACTTTTAAATATTAAGAAATTTAATTGTGAAAAATGTATTATTCCATCTTTGATGATGTCAGTCACAGAGTAACTATTTTTTCTGGAAATGCCTTCTCCACCACGCCTGTAAAATATTGAGAACATCACAAGAAAAGACCAATTCATAATTTCCTTCATTTGTGTGGCTTCTAAGGTAAAAAGGAAAATCTTTGCACAAAGCCTAACATGGCTACATTTAGTCCTTGAACTTTTGTGCTTGGAAACATGCCAAACAATCTGCCTTGGCAAATGGCCCCCAGGGCCTACCAAAAGGTGCATTGTCATCAGCCTCTGGTATATGAGATCCTCTGGAATTATCCGAGTGAGAGGGAAAGAATAATCTCCTTATGGTCACAGTGGCTGCCGGTCTTCTTTGACACATAACTTCTTGGTAATCTTTCCATTAGACCAGAACCTAAACAAAATTTCTAGATTGGTTTATCATAACTCAGAATAAAACATAATGAATGCACCAAAATGTAAAAACAACTTATCTCAAGGAAAACAAATATTATAAAAATTTTCATCTCCTTAAATAGTTTTCTTATTTTATTTATAACAAAAATTTGAAGTTGACAAATTTCCATACAGATAATATAAGAAGAAAGTTTTTTCATGAATGTTGACTTACACACAGTAAGTATTATTCTCAAAATTGGAAGATTTTGTTTCACATTTTACTTCAGATGAAATAAAATGGGGACTTTCGCAGAATAATATATTAATATATATTAATGTATATATTAATATATACACATATCATTTACTCTCTACCCTAAGTAATGTCAGGGTTTGTGAGACAAATGTAGAGTTGCCAGAATCAGAGTCTACAAGCAAAGTATACATTTTGAAAATATAATTTTTTGGAAGAAATTAGATTTTGATTAGTTATGTCAGGAAAACATCACATCTTTTATAAATTAATACTTATATATTGTCTATAATTTTAATGTACCTGACTAAAAACCCCAAGGGTGAAATTTATTGAAAATTATTATTAAATAATATTGGAAACAAAAGGGCAGTAAATTATATAATAAAACTGTTTCCTCTCATTTTTTATTACATGTCCACCTCTTTTCTCAAGTTTTCTGAAATTATTTATAAACAAGATTGTAGTATTATAAGCCTTCTCTCTGAAGGAATATATCTTTGTAGAATCAGTGTCAACATTGAATTGATCTGACTTTGGATAAGTTACTCCAACCTTCCATACTCTTTTTTTCCCTCACCTAAACTATGTGGATAATAGTAGTATCTATGGTATAATATTTTCAGGTGGATTAAATATATTAATAAAGGAAGCCATTCAGAACAATGTCAGGTTCATTCTAATTATGCAATATGCTACATTTTATTATAACATATGCAAATGTTAATTTGAACTTATATCTATATTGGCAATAAAATTAGTCTCTTTAGTC
This sequence comes from Homo sapiens, assembly GCF_000001405.40. Lineage (NCBI taxonomy): Eukaryota > Metazoa > Chordata > Mammalia > Primates > Hominidae > Homo > Homo sapiens. The sequence goes on from NC_000011.10 coordinate 56,122,071, forward strand.
ATATTCTATAAATTTATTAGCAATTTGTAGAATGTTAAACTAATTATTAAATGCTAGGTCATTCATATAAACAGAAATTTTTTTTGATTGTTTTGTTTATTTTTTTTGAGTCGGAGTCTGGCACAGTTGCTGGGGCTGCAATGCAATAGTGTGATCCCAGCTCACTGCAACCTCTGGCTCACTGCAACCTCCGGCTCCCATGTTCAAGCGATTCTCCTGCCTCAGCTTCTCCAGTAGCTGGGAGTACAGGCGCCCCTGCTACGTATCAACTTTGATTTCTCAGCAGTTTAGAGCAGGTGAACATGATGGGTAGAAGGAATGACACAAATGTGGCTGACTTCATCCTTACGGGACTGTCAGACTCTGAAGAGGTCCAGATGGCTCTGTTTATGCTATTTCTCCTCATATACCTAATTACTATGCTGGGGAATGTGGGGATGCTATTGATAATCCGCCTGGACCTCCAGCTTCACACTCCCATGTATTTTTTCCTTACTCACCTGTCATTTATTGACCTCAGTTACTCAACTGTCGTCACACCTAAAACCTTAGCGAACTTACTGACTTCCAACTATATTTCCTTCACGGGCTGCTTTGCCCAGATGTTCTGTTTTGTCTTCTTGGGTACTGCTGAATGTTATCTTCTCTCCTCAATGGCCTATGATCGCTATGCAGCGATCTGCAGTCCTCTACACTACACAGTTATTATGCCCAAAAGGCTCTGCCTCGCTCTCATCACTGGGCCTTATGTGATTGGCTTTATGGACTCCTTTGTCAATGTGGTTTCCATGAGCAGATTGCATTTCTGTGACTCAAACATAATTCATCACTTTTTCTGTGACACTTCCCCAATTTTAGCTCTGTCCTGCACTGACACAGACAACACTGAAATGCTGATATTCATTATCGCTGGTTCCACCCTGATGGTGTCCCTTATCACAATATCTGCATCCTATGTGTCCATTCTCTCTACCATCCTGAAAATTAATTCCACTTCAGGAAAGCAGAAAGCTTTCTCTACTTGCGTCTCTCATCTCTTGGGAGTCACCATCTTCTATGGAACTATGATTTTTACTTACTTAAAGCCAAGAAAGTCTTATTCCTTGGGAAGAGATCAAGTGGCTCCTGTGTTTTATACTATTGTGATTCCCATGCTGAATCCACTCATTTATAGTCTTAGAAACAGAGAAGTGAAAAATGCTCTCATTAGAGTCATGCAGAGAAGACAGGACTCCAGGTAGTTAAAATAGCAGAAATGGAACATTTAATCTCATCTTTTCTTTCATTCCTATTGGGTATTTTCTTAGTCTCTCTATAAAAACAATTGAATCCTTTAATTTATTTGCATTTCTGTTGTGCTACTCTTTGCTTGACTAAACATGATTTAAAACATTTCAAGGCATATGTTTTTAGAAATCCAAATGGTAATTAGAATCATAATATGTGTGTCATGTTTTGAAGCAACTGATGTGGAAAATAAGAAAATAAGGTTGTCATTTTTAATTATATTATTCAAATTCTTATGTATGCTTCAACTGTAGATAAATTTATTATGGAAAGAATATTTGAGACACGGTGATAATAGTTTTAGATGTTATTCCATTTATTATGTGGGGAAGAATCATAGCAGAGTGGGTAGGAGTACTTACTTTGGAATAAAATTTTCCAAGAGTTAGATTCTAAATATGCTACACTTTTAGCTGTGTAGCCATTAATATGTTACCTAAAGCTTAAGCCTCCTTTCCCTAAGTGCGCAAGATAAATAACTCCAAATCTGATCAGAGGGTAGTTGTAGAGTATTTAAAGCGATAATAATTAATGCTTCCCATTATCATTAGAAGACCTACATTACTGCACAGTGCGTTTTTTCAAGAATGTAAACTCGTGTTTCACAAATTACTTTTGGTTAATTTAATTGACAGAACTAAAAAGAACAAAAATCAGCAGCTCACAATTTTGGATTTCAGAAGTAAAATATTTCAGTAGAATTATGTTATAGAAAAAATAGCCTATATTAATATAATGTTAGAGAAAATTTGAAAATATTATAAAATATTGAAGAAAATAGAAATCCTCTACAAATATTGAGTTTTGGCTGCTCTTCCTGTGGAGTAGCCATTCTTTTGTTTATTTACTTCTCTAATAAACTCGTTTTCAGTTTTAGAAAAACAAATATTGAGTTTTGTGCATGTTCTTCTAGATCAATAGTTTCAAATACGTGCACATATATAACGCATATAAACAAAAATTTCTATCACTTTCTACATACTGATTTTCAGCTTTCTGTATTCATTTACAAGTTTAACATTAGATAATCTCTTTGTCATCGACAAATCTAACATAAAGTTTTTCTTGATACATGGGCACAATCAAGTCTCATTTCACAATGTTTTGGACTTGAAATATAAATTCATCACGTTAAAAATCTACATGCAGTGATATGTCCTTTGCATGCTAAACAGGTGAAAAGTGGATTTCCGTAATGTGTCAAATTGCTTCTTTATTAAAATCCTGTGTGTTTTTAAAAATCATTGCCTTTCTCCTGTTTTCTACAGGTTTGTTTCAGTTTTAAAATAACTCCTTGAATTAAATGCTTTATTCATTGATTTTACATTTCTTAATACAGAAAAGATGTAAAGCAAAGAATTGACAATGAATTCAGTTGTTGTGACATCCCATCAATTTTAGTCAGGTAGTGTGCTTAAATGTCTTTTATTTTTAAATGTTTTCCTTACATATTCTGGAAACACAGTTTTGTTTTTATCTGCTATTTAAAGGATATTTTAGAAGCTAGTTTTTATTTTCCAAGTATTTGTCTTTTTTGTTTAAACTTTTGTAACAGTTACTAGATAGACTGTTTTCGTTTATATATTGAAATTTTTGTTTGTACAATTATATTTGATTTTTTCTAAGTGCATTTTGAATGTTTAAAATAGACTGTATCCTCTATTTTAGGAGTTAACATTTTAATAAAATTTCACTTATTCAAACTGTCAGCTAATTTATTCAAATCTTTTAAATACATATTGTTTCCTCTTAATTTATTTCACAATTTTGTTTATCAAGTATTAATGCCATGTAAAATTATTATAATTTAATTTTTGCTTTGATATCCATTTTTTCAGGAATATATATTTATAGGTCCCTGTATTTGTTTTCATTTGCAATTAGAAATAAGTATTTAATCGACATTTATTATTTAATAATATGTTTTTGGCTCATTCTTATCTAATAAATGCATAATATAAGTTCATGTATTTACAGGTTCTTTCCATTTTTCTATTTATTTCTATAAACTATGGTTTTATCTTGCTTTCATTTATGTCTACTTCTATGATTTAGAAAATGGATCCTGTCAATTTGGGTTGCAAAGATGGCCAACAGAATCTATCACTTTGTGGTCAACACATGGTGGGAAATTGTTTACATTCTAATTTAATGAGGACCACCCTATCATCTTCATAACATAGGCTAAAACATATTCACATAATGTTATTAAAAAGTATACAATAATCTATGCACAACATGAAAGATTTAGACTGTTCACATTTGGCCTATACTTTCCTTATTATATTGGTGTAAAGTATATTTTATGTAAGATATTGTCTAATTGAAGACATAGTTGTCTGGTTCATAGTGTCATGCCAAAATGCCCTATGATATAAATATGAAACAAACCCTGTCATTGAGCATGGCAAGATATGAACAGCTATTTTTACTTCCACATAATTATGGCTAGAGGAAAACAGTAATAATATATTTTTCTGAGCACTTTCCATGGTCAGGCAATATTCAAAGGCTTTATGTATATCTAATTAACATAATTTATTGTTATAATTTAACTGTCAGGTCAGTACTAGCAATATGTAAAGTTTAATCTCACATTAATGGAAAACCACCCTTTACTTGTTCAAGCAGACTTAAGAATTTTCTTGGAATTTTCTTCTTATTGAACACACTTTACTTCCTTTCCATCAGCATATTAAGGTGATTCTAAATATAGACTGTATTTGGTGTCTGTTTTAACATGTTTTTGCCGCCATCGTGGCCAAGATAACTATATTTTCCACTTCAGAATTATTGCTTCAATATTGTAGAATGCACCTAACTTTTTTTCTTATTCCTCTTGAGTCTAATCTCAATGTAGGAGCCAGAGTTATACTGTGAAACAGTAGGTTAGATCATAATTTTTCTTCACAAACCCTATATAATATTTCTGAAATACGGCCTGAAATTTTCCATTTTCTTTTTCCTGAAACTTTTTTTCCCCAAAGATAACTGCATCATTTTTTTCTTATCCTTTTCTCGACAAGAAAATCTCTCACCACCCTATTAAAACTGGTACCTGTTCACATCCTCTTTCAAACGTTCTTCTTTTTTCATAGCACTTATTCCCATCTGATGTTCTAAATATTTTTCTTGTGCCTTTTATTTTGTGTCAGTTTTCCCCTATTATCATGTAAGCTCTATGAGCATAGGACTTTCCCCCAGTACCTAGAACAGTACCTTAATAAATGTATTTAAAGACTGAATTTTATAGATCATGAAACTGGAACACAGAGAGATTCAATAACTTCTCCCACTTTTTAAAAAATGCAATGGTTTACTACTATAATCTCATTGAAACAAATAGAATTTGGTATATTTTTAAAGACATAAAAAAACAGAGGTTATTAAAAGGTATATGCTGTTAATATACATTCTCTAGGGCTGCTGATGGAGGATGGTGTGATTTTGGCATTACTAGCTAAATCTCAAATATATATGTACAGTCCGATTTACAGAAAAATAACTCAATAAAGAAAGACCAGTTTATGTAAGATATTGTCTAATTGAAGACATAGTCCTCTGGTTCTTAGTGTCCTGCCAAAGTGCCATATAAGTATGAAAAAACCTGTAATTCAGCATAGCAAGATATGAACAGCTATTTTTACTTCCAAATAATTATGGCTAGATGAAAATAGTAATAATATATTAATTATTATATTGATGGGATGATGCTGGTGAGAAAATTTGTATTTATCAGAATAAAGGATTTTCTGATCCAAAAAATAAAAAAAAAAATTAAAATGATTCAGAAACAGAGAGACCCAACTACAACAGAAGTATTCTTAAATATAACCTGCAGAATTTTCTCTGTTTTATCCAATTACTCTTGATCTGACTAGACTTGTGGGAGCTGTTTTTCACAGGGCAATCCTAGGACACAGGTTCTTTTGTGTTATTGCTCTATTTTCTCCTTGATGTTGTCCTCTTCTGTGTTATTGAAGAGAGTTAATCTAGTACGTTGTCCGCATTCCAGTCAGAGGAAAAGGTGAGATTTTTTGACACTGGGAAGGCAATTTCAAACTCACTGTTCATATTGATGGTTTTTATGAATGTATTCAATTTATTAAGTTGGCATAGGACTACCCTGGTTACCCATTTCTTCTGATGTAAGCTTCTTTAGAGAATTGTACTTTTCATTTAATAGTTTTCACTTAAGTACTTTTCATTTAAGTTTATTAGCAAAATATTGTTTATAATATTCTTCTTTTCTTTCCATACTTGTGGGGACCATAATAAAATGCCTTATTTCATTCCTGATATTGGTAATATTTATCCTCTCTCTTCTTGGTGGTGACCCTGCATTATGAAATGCACAGTTTATGTATTATAGTTTAAATAAAATAATCTACAACATATCTTTTCACATAAGACCCTTAGGGTAATGTCAAGTCAGATCTTCTCTTCCATTCATTTTGCTATTTTTTGTGGTAAATTTTACTGTTATGTATGGTTTAAACCCAGAATGCACCAGCATAGTTTTGCTAGATATTTATTTTTTAAAGCAATTAAAATGTCCAATATTTGTTATTTTTTATTTTCAGTTATACATTTTTAGTGCTATTTCTTTATTTGTGTGAAGCCATGTTTTCTTATGTTATTACAGACCCTCTACTTCAAAAATAGTTGGAGCACAAGTCTCTTGATTATCAATTATTTCAGCATAAGTAGGCACTGAGCATGTGTGTAGGTGTGTATGTATGTGTATTTATTTTCCTGAAAATAGGCTTCATTTAGTTTCACTTTTTGTATGTCTCCTTCCTGGGATCCTCTTCCTGGTATCCTCTTACCTTCTTGGACCAATGGTTTGATGGATTTCTTACTTTTACAAAATTATTCACCACTGTATCTTCAAATGTTTCTCAAGCTTCCGTTCTTCTCCATTATTCTTCTGTTTGTTATTAGACTACTTGACATTGCCATAGAGTTCTTGTATACTTTTGTTGCAACTTTTTTTCTTTAACTTTCTTTCTCTTTGATAAATTACTATTGGTTCATCTTCAGGTTCACAAATTGTTTCCTCATCCTTATGGACTCCACTGATAAGCTGGTTGAATGAATTCTTTGTCTCCAATATTGTGAGCGTGTGTTTGGAGAGTTGGGTGGGTGGCCCAGTACTTCACTGGACACTTCCTGTAGTCACTATCTGATGAAATTTCTGTCATATTTATGCATGTTCCTTACTCTCTCCACTATAACGTTTATTCTTGTAGTTGTAAATGCTCTTTAGTCAACAACCATCAGGAGCATCTGTATTTGAAAAATTGATGTTATTAGTAAATCTCATAAGCATTTGGAAGGGGCCTGCAGAGAAAACTTTTAAGAGTGAATGTAAATCCTTTCAATCTAGAACTTTCTGATTTTCTCAATAGTACACACTTGGATTTAAGTTTTCTTTTTTTTTTTAATTTAGCTAATTTATTCCTACATACCTTTATGGTGGCCTCATCTTTCTCTCACCCTTTGCCAAAAGTGAAACAGTTCATGTGTCCCATTTGCAGCACAGCCTTAGTTCCAAGATAGACTCACAACAATTATGACTTCATAGGTTAACTGAAGTGTTTTAAATAGGTTGGGAGCAAGGTTCTTTGTAGCTTTCTACACCCTATGTGGAAAGAGAAGCTCTGTATACCCTTTGAATCCTACCCATTGGTATGACTTCAAATATTGCTCTTCTGGGTAAATCCACACTTACCACTGCAGTATCTCATTCTGCATCTTGAATGGGATCTCATAATCCATCCAGATATAACTCATCACATCTACTCTTCTCTTAATACTTTAGTTCTTTGCTCTTTTTTTCTCCTCTCTTTCTTTCTTTTTTTTGTCTTTATCTTTTTGATCACTGACTGCCAAAACCTGTAAACTCTTTATATCCCAATGAGTGGAATAAATTAGCAAGTTTATTAGGTTTAGTAGAAACCACTTCACCAATATTTTTAAGTGCATTCTTTTTCTCTTATTTCTGTCAGTGGCTATAGGAAAACTGATAATGTTTCCTAAAGTATTGTTAGAAGCAAAAAAAGTAAGTTGGTAAGGTAAAAAGATCAGTCAATTCTTTCAATCCATATATAACAAGCAAAAGGAACTCTGTAGTTAGCTAAGTTAGGTTTGAATCTCACATCACTCTTAAGAACCATGTGGCATCGAGCAAATTATTTAAGGTGTGTGTGCATTGTTTCTTCGTGTTTGTTAAAATAAAACTACATAAGTTTCAGGATACAAAACCAATGTATAAAAATCACTAGCATTCCTATCCACCAAACAGCCAAGCTGAGAGTCAAATTAGGAACACAATCCCATTCACAATCGCCACAGAAATAGTAAAATATCTAGCAATAGACTAGGAAGATGAAAGAGTTTTATAATGAGAATTACAAAGCACTGCTCAAAGAAATCAAAGATGACACAAACAAATAGAAAAACATTTCATGCTCATGGATAGAAAGAATCAATATCATTGATGTGGCCATACTGCCCAAATCAATGCTATTCGTAGCAAACTACCAGTGACTTTCTTCAAAGGACTGGAAAAAACTATTATAACATTTATACGAAACCAAAAAAGGTCCCAAATAGCCAAGGTAATAATTAAAAAAAGTAAAAAAGAACAAAGCTGGAGGCATCACATTCCCCAACTTCACACTACACTACAGGGATACAGTAACCAAAACAGCATGGTACTGGTACAAAAACAGGCACATAGACCAATGGAACAGAATAGAGAAACTTGAACTAAGGCAACAAACTTACAGTTATCTGATCTTTGACAAAGCTGACAAAAACAAGCGATAGGAAGAGAACTCAGTATTCAATAAATGGTGCTGGGATAACTGGCTAGCCATATGCAGAAGATTGAAACTGGACCCCTTTCTTGTACTCTACACAAAATTTAACTTGAGATGGATTAAAGACTTCACTGTAAACACAAAACTATAAAAACCCTAGAAGACATCGTAGGCAATATTATTCTGGACATAGGAATGGGCAAAAATTTCATGATGAAGACACCAAAAGCAGCCCAAACAAAAGCAAAAATTGACAAGGTATCTAACTAAACTAAAGAGCTTCTGCACAGCAAAAGAAATTCTCAACAGAGTAAATAGACAACCTATAGCATGGGAGAAAAATTTTGCATTCAGTGCCACTGACAAAGGTCTAATCTCCAGCATCTATAAAGAGCTTAAACAAATTTACAAGAAAAAAACAATTCCATTAAAAAGTGGACAAAGGACTTAGACATTTTTCAAAAGAAGACATACATGTGACCAATAAGCATATGAATAAAACCTCAATATTACTGATCATGGGAGGTATGCAAATCAGAATGACAATGAGTTGCCATCTCACCCCAGTGAGAATGGCCATTATTATTTTTTAACATTTAAGTTCAGGGGTATATGTGCAGGTTTTTAACATAGGTAAACTTGTGTCATGGGGGTTTGTAATACAGATTATTTTATCACCCAGTTATTAAGCCTAGTACCCATTAGTTATTTTTCCTGATGCTCTCCCTCCTCCCACTCTCCACCCTCAGACAGGGTCCAGTGTGTGTTGTTCCCCTCTACGTGTCCATGTGTTCTTCTCATTTAGCTCCCTATCCTTAGTAAACTAATCTAGGAACAGAAAAACAAATATCACATATTCTCACTTATAAGTGAGAATAGCTATTATTAAAACATCAAAACAATAACAGGTGCTGATGAGGTTATGAACAAAAGGGAATACTTATACACTGTTGGCAGGAGTGTATATTATTCAACCATTGTGGAAAGCAATGTGATTCCTCAAAAACCTAAAAATAGAACTGCAGTTTGACCCAGCAATCCCATTACTGGGTATTTACTCAAAGAATATAAATTATTCTATCACAAAGACACATGCCTGTGAATGTTTATTGCAGCACTATTCACAATAACAAAAGCATGAAATCAACCTCACTGCCCATTCACGATAGACTGACAAAGTAAATGTGATGTGTATACACCATGGAATACTATGCAGCCATAAAAAGAACAAGATCATGTCTTTTGCAGGAACATGGATGGAGCTGGAGAGGATTATTCTAAGTGAACTAACACAGCAACAGAAAACCGAATACCACATGTTATCACTTAAAAGTGGAGCTCAACACTGAGTACATGGTGGACACAAAGAAGGGAAGAGCAGACACTGGGTCTTACTTGAGGGTGGAGAGTAGAAGAAGGGTGAGGAGGGAAAGGTATCAATCAAGCGCTATACTTATTATCTGGGTGACAAAATAATCTGTACACCAAACCCCAGTGTCCTGAAATTGATCTGTATAACAAACCTGCACATACGACTCTGAATCTAAAATAAAAGTTAAAAACTATAAAAATAAAGAATAAATTTATGTACTAATGACAAAAAGCCCCAGAATATTTGACATCAAAACTGATAGATAAGAAAGGAAAAAACATAATTTAACTTTCAATTTTAATATCAGTCTTAATAATTGAGAGAGGAAATAAAGAAGAAAAGAGCAATATTATAAAAGACTGGAAAAGCACTCTCCTCCTGACTAAAATCAATGAAACAATGATTAATCAAATGATATTAAACAACAATTCTTCAAGTAGGCTTTCTCAGAATTGGCACTATTAACATTCTGGACTGAGTAAGTTTTTTGTGTGAGGGGCTATCTTGTGAATTTTAGATTATTTTGCAGCTTAAGTAACATCTATCCTTTAGATAGCAATAACGTTTGTTCACACCACCTCAACACCATGAAATGAGCAATATTTACAGAACTTGCCAAATGTTTTCTAGTGGGGAAACTCACTTCTAGTCAAAACCACTAGTCTAAGTTTATTGTAATTTAATTGGAAAATATTATTCAACTTAATTTGAAATATATTATTTGAATTTAATTTTAAGTATTTTGTTAAGCTACCCCTATCAATATATTATTAAAGCACTCCAATAATCTTTAAACTTGTTGTTCTGGATGCCTTTACTTCTGTGTATTCTTGACAAGTACATAGTTGTGCAGCTATCAGATGAGATAATCAATTTTAAAAATATACATATATTTATGTGCACAATAGAATTTGATGTGAATTGTTATGGTACCTTCTACATGTAATTGTAATTATTTGCCTACAAAGAACACAGAGAATTATTTCACTTTATAGTGAGCAGATCTTTACTGGTTGACAACAAAGATCAATATGAATTTTATTAACAGGGAGAAAACAGATCAGAAGGAATGTATGCCTTTGTTTTTTCAAGTTTGTTTCTTAATTTTATGAACAAAATAATGCCTGGTTTCTGTTGACAATGACTTTCCTCAGGGCATCTTTCACATCCTTGTTCCTGAGGCTCCAGATCAAAGGGCTCAACATGGGAATGACTACTGTGTAGAAGACAGAGGCCATCCTGTCTGTGTCAAGAGAATTTTCTGAGCATTAAGTACATAAGGAACAGGCTTCCATTGAACATCAATGATACAGAGGGGCAATAAGGGAGACAAAGGCTGAGGATAATGTGAAAGTGTCATCAGGAAGCTATAGCTATAGGAGGCAGGCATAAGCTGAATGCAGACTCCTTGCGGGGGGGACATGGTGACCATATACAAAGGAGGATTACAAATGACCAGGTATTGATCACAGGCCATGAAAGCTAGAGCAAGCACTCGGTGGTCATGAAGGTGAGAGAGCAGCCTATGTGCATTGAAGGTTAATTTTTTTTGTTTGTACAAGAAACTTCCAAACATTTTGGATGTAATGACTGAAGCATAACAGAAACTTAAAAAGCCAAGTTGCTCAGAGAAAAAGTACTCGTATGCTTCCTGCATCATTTTTTTAAATGAGCAAATTAATTTATTTCCAAGAAAAAAGACAATTGACGTACAATCCACAAGCTGAATCCACATGGGAAGTCCTCTTCCAGAAAAACCCGTGTCTCTAAATTTAAAGCATCCCACTCCTACTGCAATAAAGTAATGATTATTTTTGGCAGGCAGAAAATTCATCATGACATGGATTTCAATAAATATTTATTTGGCACCTCTGGAGAGTGGGGATGTTTCTTTAGGAAAATTAAGACACCTATGTGGATAAATGTAAAAATGTTTCCAAATCCTTTGGGGTAAGCAGGATATGAAGCAAAATGGTGGAAAGCAAGATATGCACTTTGGTGTATAAACTTTTGGATTTTTGCTCTCTTTCTGTGAAGAATGGCATGGGTATTTTGATAGGAATTGCTTTAATCTGTAGATTGTGTCGGATTGTATGAACATCTTAATAATGATTATTTCAATCCATGAACATGGTGTATCTTTAGATTTTCTTGTATCCTTTTCAATTTCTTTCATCAATGTTTTATAGTTTACATTGTAGAGATATTTTACTTCTTTGGTTAAGTTTATTTCCAATTTTATTCTGGTATGTTTAAGAGCTTTGTGGTTGCTCTCTATAGTTACAAGTAGATCACAAAGAACAGTGCTAGTCTCTAGTAATCATCAGAAGATGATCCTAGTGGCTGTAAGGGAGTTTTCTAAGTTTGATATGTTGGTTTCTGATTCTTTCCTAATCTCTATGGCCCAAGTCACAATACAGAAATTCTACACAATCTTCTCCTGTCAAAGTTCTTGTCACTGTAATATGATAGTCTTGCATTATGTCTTTCAGACTGTACATGGTCCTTAATAGATATTTATGAAGTGAACGCATAGAAGGTACAGCACAGGACACGTCATACCAAAGTGTCTTCATTTGCTCCACCTCTGTTTTCCACCTCCTACATTTTGTTTTTCCATCTCACTCCATTCTTATTGGCATTTTAGCTTTTCATCCTTGATATCATCTTTGGTCACATCTCCTCACATCACATCATTTGGCAGGAAACAACATCTCTTTGACTTACCATTGTAAGGATTCACTCCTTCCTAGCTCAAAATTCTCATTTCCTTTAATAAATAATATTTTTATAAACCTGCTTTTTAATTTGCAATATCAATAGTGGTGGATAAACACTCATATATATATATATACATATATATATATATATATGGTAAATTCATAGTGAATCATTTCATTACTATAAACATTGCATTTAAAAAAATATGCAACACTTTTTTAAAAAAAGCTGGGCAATAAATGAAAGTAATAGAGGACACCCAAGTGTGGAGATCCACAGAAGACAGGACATGTAAAACAGACAGGATTGAATATTTTTATGAAGAAACCTCTGAAGATTAAGATACCCAGAAATCTCCTTCCAAATAAAGTTGTACTCATAGCACCTTTAGTTTGCATAACACAAAATTTATTAAAAAGGAAAAAAAACATACATCTGAAGTGACTTTATCATTAAGCGCTCAGTGTTTTAATATTTTTCCCTACTTTAGCATCAAAATAAAGTCATATTTTCTGGAATACTCTTCACAATACCAGGCTAGTATAGATGCCCAAACATTTCTGGCAAATTAATTTCGAAGAAGGATAATTCTTCTTCATTAGGAATTCCCAGATTATTACATGCATACACATAAATAGTACTCCATTCATTTATTATCGCACTAGGTAAACCAATGATTTTTCAACTGATAAACTTTCATTGCATTATAATATTTAGGGTTGAAAATTTAATTAAAAACCCGACATCAATATATATAGATCTGGTAAAATTCATTATATTTCATTTGTCATATTTGGCTACAAACAATTTTATGGTCTTCTAGCATTTCTTCCTAAATCTAAAAATTGTCATTTGAGGACCTTGTTAATAGTTTATAAAAACTGAGTTTGGTGGAACAAATTTTGTTATTAAACATGTGGTTATATTATTCCATTGTTCAATAGAAGGCCTAACTAGAAAACGTATTCAGTGGAATCCAAAGATGACCTTTTATAAAAAAAAAAATTATGATGGAAATGTAATGCACAGTAAAAATGGGAATGAATTTGGGACTGTGGAAAAGTGATTATGTTACCTCAAAAATCTCATCTTATGCAAACAAGATAGCTTTTTCCTGCCTTTTCATTCTTTCACTAAGTGGAAGAAAGATTGGCGTGAAAAGTAGACTGAATATCTCAACACCAAGGCAAATTAAAAGATATCCAATCACTACTTTTCCAGTTACTTGAGTCTAATTTTGTACTGTAGAGTTGTGTTTTGTTTCCTTTTTAATATTATAATTATTCATATCATTCATAATTATTCATATCATAATTATTCATACCATATCATAATTATTCATAATTATTCATGACTGAAGATTTAGTTTCTTTGGTCCTTTAGTCCTGAAGGAACTCTTTAACACAAGAACCTACTTACAAGTAAACTGAACACACACACAGAATGTCAACATAATCTTCCATATGTATCTTTCAGTCTAGTTCTTTATTTGTAGGATATATTCCTAAGTTTCAATGCCAGAATCCCCATTGGCACTTTTAATATGAGTTTTTTGACTTTTGCCTTATGATTTTTATTTGATAAGTCTGGGATATATCCTATAAGTCTGATTACTCCTATATATTATAAGTTGTACAATAGGTGTAAGTGTACACTTACTGATCAAAAACTATCAGAAAAAAAGAACAAAAATTCAAAAAATATTTCTGATGATGTAAGAAACTCCCATGAACAAGTTTTTTTAAAGTTTATTAATATACAAAAATAGAACATTTGTTTTACCTATGAAGGATGAATGATATTTAGAGGAAGGAGAAAAGGAAATTTTTATAAAATCTGATGTTTACAAAGCAAACCCAGTATAAAAGCATATTCAGTGATAGTAGTCTGAGCATTTTATTTAAAAATTGCAGAAAATATATTAGTTGGAATAAAATATTTTCAATTATATAATGAGGATTTAAAATATGTATTAATTGATAGTATGTCTTTATTGTATATTCAAACAATATTAAGAGTTAAAGAGCTTTATTTTAAATATTATTGTCAGTTCAAATTTGTTAACTTTGTTGTAAAAATGATTTTAGTCATCTGTAGTTACAGTTTTTCAAGATGCAGGCATCCACTCTACCAATCATACCCAGAAAGAAAAAAAGGAGTCCACAGAATGAAAAATATTCACTTTAATTCTCTTGTTCCTATTTTGTTGCTCTGTTAAAACTTAACCTTTTAAAAACTGATATGCTCCTTACTCCTGAAAATATTTTATTCAAACTGGTTACCTGATTATTTCTGGGCAAAGTTAATAAATAATATTTTTGTTTTGTATTACTCTCATAACTCAAAATGTTTCCATGTATTTTTTTTAATTCAATGATCTTTAAATCTTACCTCTTGGTAATTCTTAGGATTGCTTGTAAACTTACTTTTATTTCTCTTACATAATGGCAGGTTACATGAACTATCTCTTCATTTATTTATAGAGCTCTAAAATTACATTGATTTAAAGGAGTAACATGGATTTTCCATGAATTTCTTTAAGGCAACATTTACATCATTATTCCTCAGGCTGTAGATCAAGGGATTCAGCATAGGAATCACCAATGTGTAAAACACAGAAGCCATCTTATCAGTATCCAGTGAGTGGTTGGTTTGGGGCTGCAAATACATAAATAGCATTGTCCCATAGAAAACCGTGACTGCTATCATATGCGAAGCGCAGGTGGAAAAGGCTTTTTTCCTTCCTTCTGGTGAACGTATCCTTAGAATGGACAAAACAATATTGAAATAAGATACTAGAACTGTAATCATGGAAAAAACCAAATTTGTTGCTGCAGATATAAAGACTATTGTTTCTGGTATGTAAGTATCAGAGCAAGATAATGCTAACAGAGGTGCAATATCACAGTAAAAATGATTGATTATATTAGAAGAGCAATAAGACACAGAGAATATACAAGGTGAAACCACAATAGCTGTAGAAAAGCCATAGAGGTATGTGAGGGACACCAGCAGGAGGCAGAGCCGCCGAGACACCACCACCATGTAGAGCAGAGGGTTACAAATGGCCACATAGCGGTCATAGGCCATCACAGCCAGCATCATTACCTCCGATACAATAAAGAACAAGAACCCTCCCAGTTGGGTGGCACATTCATAGAATGAGGTAGTTTTCTTCTTTACTAAAAAGTTCATCAGCATTTTAGGGGCAATGACAGTAGAGTTGCCAAGATTGATGATAGCTAGATGTCTCAGGAAAAAGTACATGGGGTTTTGAAGTCGAGAGTCAACACTGGTGAGGGTGATGATGCCCAGGTTCCCTGCCATGGTCAGCACATAGAGCACTAGGAAGACCAGGAAGAGGGGAATCTGGAGCTCTGGACAGCTAGAGACACCTGTGAGAATAAACTCAGTGACCCTGGTGAAATTTTCAGGAGCCATGTCAGAGTTTGGAAATTCATCTGTTTGAGGAAGAAAATAAGTGGTTATAGACGTTAAGGAATCATTTTCTAGGATTTCCACTAGATGGCAAGGACAATTCCTGGGTGTGATCTTCTTGTCATGTATTAATCTAATTCAGTTATTAAACTCAGTATTCTCAGTCTAATAAATCAGCTTTGCAATCACTTGGGAGAGAGTAAAGCAAGTATGGTAAATTTAGTATGGCAAAGTAAATAGTTGTTTCAGCATCCTGCAACACTTTGAGGGTTTACTGCCTTGCAGTGTAATTGAATTAAGAATATGTTCTTAGCTTACAAACATTTGAAGCTGGGATGTATCTGATGATTTTTGCACTGATCATGAGAAAGGCTTAAGAAATTGTATATCGCCAAATAATCCAATGGCTACTTGCAATTTCCTAATCTGATAATTCTTCCTTTGCCTCAAGACTAGGTACTATACTCTTCATTTTAAGAATTATATCCTTTTATAACATGTATTAGATCTATATTGAGCTTGCAAATTACAACATGCATGTTTGTTTACTACTTTTTCTCTTTCCATTTTATTAACTCAAACAAAAATACATGGATAAATCTCTTCAGATCTATTTTTCAGGTAGCTGTTTCTCTTCTTAGGTTTCCATAAATAATATCAGTAAAATTTTGTGCAGGCGTGGTGGCTCAAACCGGTAATCCCAGCACTTTGGGAGGCCGAGGCGGGCAGATCATGAGGTCAGGAGATGGAGACCACCCTGGCTAACACAGTGAAACCCCTTTCTACAAACAAACAAACAAAAAAAAATAATTAGCCGTGCGTCGTGGCGGGCGCCTGTAGTCCCAGCTACTCGGGAGGCTGAGGCAGGAGAATGGCGTGGACCCTGGAGGCGGAGCTTGCAGTGAGCCGAGATTGCGCCAGTGAGCCGAGATTGCGCCACTGCACTCCAGCCTGGGCGACAGAGCGAGACTCCGTCTCAAAAAAAAAAAAAAATCAGTAAGATTTTTATCATTTTTGTAATTCCTCAACATTATGCTTTCCTGGGTACTACTTTCTATTTCTTCCCTCTCATGACTATTCTTTTCCTTGTGCTAAAAGTTCGTACAATACTCCGTGTTTTTTTCATGATTTTTCTTTTAATTCAATTTTTTGTTTATAAAATGTTATATTTCTTAAATTTACACAATACACCTGCTCTTAATTTTAGCTGATCTGTTTTTTTTACGTTTTTTGATATTTATATTATTGTAACAGGAATAAACACCTTCATTTTGAGGGTTTTTATGATAATTATGTTGCATGTATTTGCCATAGATTCAGCGTGCTATTTTAGTATGGATGAACACTTTCCTAGAGTTGTATATTTTAATCATGATTATTTGCCCCTAACTAAGTGAATTCATGTCCTGTTGGAGTCACAATTGATAGTTCCAGTGGTGGGCACCTGGTCCAAATAAGTCTTATCATATAGTTCTTTATTTTAAAGTTCACAATTAAGTTCCAGAAAGTTAAGAATATATTATCACACAGATCTGAATTTTAAAAGCCCAGAGCTATTCAGTTTCTCTCCTTCTAAAAGAGATAGAATAGAAAGAGAAACAAATGATTATTCTACAGTGAGAAAAAATAAAGAAGTGACTACTTAAAAAAAGAAAACAGAGAAATAACACCAAAATGACTCCTAACGTTGTTGGATATCTGGTACCAGTTTGTTTGATGATACCAAGCATAAATTTTTCCTGTGGGTTCTGTGAATTATCCTCTTATTTTCCACATATTTATTAAAATTCTACTTTGTTCCAGGCTATGTTCGAGCTTCAGATAAATTACCTGACCCTCAGATCGTGAATATGTTATTGTAATGATAGGGAAGAGAAAAATCTGTTAAGAAGGCATATAAACACAATAATTGCAGATTTAAATAAGCATAATAGGTAAAACAAACAAGATAATATACTAGGATAACCTGGGAGAGTACTATCACATAGAATATTAATATTAATACTTTTACAAGGAAGGCTCTTCTGAGAAGGTGGCATTTGAATTGAAACCTAAAGGTGGAGAAGGAATTAGCTATTTAATCAGTCACAGGAAGGGCATTCCAGGATTCCAGGCAAGAATTAATTTCTTGAAAATGCGTATCTGGGAAAAAATATGGCCTATGCCACATCTGTTCTTCATTCAGATAAAGTTATCCTGCCTTTAGAATATGTTCTTATAAATGCTGTAACGTGCATAGATAGGAAATGAGAATAGGACAGGAGGGGCACTAGGTAAATAATGATAGACAAAGATCCTTGTTAAAAATAGTTGAAAAGCATGAAACATTAAGTTAATAGCCCTATATTGCAAGGGAGGAAATAGTTTTGCAGAGTATAGGGGCCTTCAACATCTTTGGTGATAACCTAGTTTAAACTCTGCCCTTGAAAATTGTCAATGATCAATGTTTCTACTTACTTCAACAGAGAATCTGCTTTGCTTTCTACTTCTTTAGCCCTCACAGGTGGCTACAGAATAGATTTAAGGTTTTTTTCTAAAACCCTTGAGACTCATTTAGTTGAAGTTTCAATCTGATTCAAGGATAAAAAATTGTACATAATTACCTGAGGGAGAGTGCCTTGGATATTTGTTAATTATTCTCAGAATTTTCCATTAGAAAAAGTCATAATATTTTATGTTTCAGTCTAACTGAATAATTGAATTATGCAATATGACTAAACACAGGAAATTATAAATATGACTTTGTCAGCATTTTGGTTACACAGTATTTTGCTCATATTAAGTATACCACACACAGACACCCATATATGCAATTTGTTAGTAAATGAGAAAAAATTTTCTAGAAAAAAACATGCAAAATTTGATAATACAACATCCATTGACAAAGAATACTTTTGGTGATTATGGTATAATTCTACCAGACATATAGTTATTGGTTGACATAAGAAAGTGTCATGACTTTGGCCGGGCGCGGTGGCTCACGCCTGATATCCCAGCACTTTGGGAGGCCAAGGCGGGCGGATCACGAGGTCAGGAGATCGAGACCATCCTGGCTAACATGGTGAAACCCCGTCTCTACTAAAAATAAAAAAAATAGCCTTGCGTGGTGGCGGGCGCCTGTAGTCCCAGCGACTTGGGAGGCTGAGGCAGGAGAATGGCGTGAATTCAGGAGGCAGAGCTTGCAGTGAGCCGAGACGGCACCACTGCACTCCAGCCTGGGCAACAGAGGGAGACTCAGTCTCAAAAAAAAAAAAAAAAAAACAAAGAAAGTGTCATAGTGTCATGACTTTTATTTTTTCTGCCAATGTATCAGTGGTAAACATTTCTTCATTCGTTTATATCTTTTATCACTAGCAATTTTGAAGAATTTTTTATAATTTTTTATAATTAAATTTTTTATAATTGATGGTGAAGCACTTTGGCATCATTTTCTTTCTGTTTATTTTGCTTGGAGTTATTTTATCCTGTTGTATCTTCATCATTATTAAAAAATAAACTTAGAAATTCTGGCCAACATCTTTTTCCCTGTTTCTTGTCCTATAATATAGTTTTTTCTTTCCACTTAGACCTTATAATTAAACATGTGGTAGGTATCTTGTTATTGTTCTATAGTTGACTGAGACTGTTTCAGTGGGTTTTGTTTTTAGTATTATGTTTCTCTCTGGCTTCATTTTGAGTGTCTATTGTGACAAGTCACATCTTTTCTTTTTCAGTGTATGTTTTTTACTCAATAAATATTTGTTCATATGTAATATTGTATTTTCATTTATTTCTCACAGTGTTGGTATTTGTGCTAAATCATTCAGTATATCCAACATCTATAATAACATTTTGAAGGTTGCACACTGCTGCTTTCTCATAGGACTAGAATTTGTGATTGGATGTTGAATATTGTAAATTTTATAAGAATAATTGCTGTGTTTTATTTTAATTTGTTTTCCTAAAAGAATGATAAATGTTTTAAAATGTACAAGTAATTATTGACTTTAGTCACCTTGTCGTGCTGTCAGTTATCAGTTGACTCTATTCGAGACTTGTTTTCAAGCTGGCAAAGGGGTTTAAAATAGCTTTGTTCCTGAGATTTCTACTGGATGTCTATGTCTTGTAAAAGGACTTTCCACTATGACTTTTTAGAATTCTAATGTCTTCCTGCCCTGTGTAGTTTCTATGAAATGTTTCAGCACACAATTTCCTGGTCATTCTTTTAACAGCTTTATGTCATGCACAAGTCTAGGGTTCAGCCAAAATCTCAAGAAAACTTATGGAGGAAAGGATGACCAACAATAAGGATAGGACCTATAGGAAACAAATAGCAATATGCCAAAAGGATGTTCTCCATTATCTGTGATAACTTTAAATGGACATGGATTACATTCTCCAATTAAAAGAAAGAAATTGACAGAATAAATTAAACAAACCAAAAAAACCACGTGATCCAAATATATGCTATCTGCATGAGTCTGACTCACTTTGTTTAAATAAAATGAAAACAAGATTGAGAATGTACATCCTATTTTAAAAAAAGGCAAAACCCCTACAAAATAAAGATATAGCTTACTAAAATGTAGCTTAATGTGTGTTCCACTGGTAGAATATAAGGTATGAGATCACTAAAGAAAATAGTAAATCAGAAGAAAGACATTTTCGAAGGAAGTGGTATTTTAATTGAATTCTATAATATGAGGGTTAATTGGCTGATTATAATGAGAACAATCTATTTTTGAAGTGTTAAAATGGTTCTTTTTGTAGAGTCATAAAGAATGTAATTATATCTATTAGAAACACTATCAAGTGATAAATATTTTCTCATAATTTATTGGAACAATGTTCCATAGTGTACTGTAAAGACAAAGTTTGCACTAATTCTTAAAGACTCTATAAAAGACATTTTTAACCCCTAAGTTGCTAAAGCTGTAGATCAAGAGGTTAAACCTGAGGATCATTAAAGTGTAGAACAAGGAGGCCATTTATCCATATCAAAAAGTAGAGATCCATAGAACATAACCACCATTGTAAGATGAGAACCACACATGGAGAAAGCTTTTTTCCTGCCCAGTGCAGAATGCATTCAACATATGGCTAACAAAATCAGAATGTTTAACACTAGCAATACCAGGAGGTAGGGATCAAATTAAATGCTGTAAGCAGTGTGATCAACAATTCTCTTTCCTGTGCATTTGAGCATAGCATATGGAAGAAGAGAACATCATAACAATAGAAATGACTGATGATAAAGCTACAGAAGGTCAAAAAAAGGTCATTGTGATAATTAGAGATTGAAATGTATTACAGAGGTATGGAATGCTCATCAGCACATGTTACAGTCACAGACACATGATAACAATGTAAAACAAAGGGTTGGAGTTCACCACATAGCAATCATAGGCCATGCTTACCAAGATTAAAAGTTCAGTGATAATGAACATAAGAAAGTCATATGTGTGGCACATGCATAATAGGAAATGTTATTCTGATCCACAACAAAATTTAACATTTTATTGGTGTAAATAACAATACAATTGTAAAAATCAATGAAAAATATGTGTTTGATTAAAAAATATACAACAGGTGTGTATAGGTGGGAGTCTAGTTTGGTCAAAATATTCATGCCCAGGTTGCTCATCACTGTGATCAGGTAGGTGATGAGGGAGACATCACAAGAAGTTAAGCTGGCTGGGTACAGTGCCTCATGCTTGTAATCCCAGTACTTTGGAAGGCCAAGATGTGTGGATCACTTGGGGTCAAGAGTTCGAGACCAGCCTGGCCAACATGGTGAAACCCTGTTACTTAAAAATACAAAAATTAGCGCCACCCCGTCTGGGAAGTGAGGAGAGTCTCTGCCTGGCTGCCCATCGTCTGGGATGTGAGGAGCCCCTCTGCCTGGCTGCCCAGTCTGGAAAGTGAGGAGCGTCTCTGCCCGCCCGCCATCCCATCTAGAAAGTGAGGAGCGCCTCTTCCCGGCCGCCATCCCACCTAGGAAGTGAGGAGCGTCTCTGCCCGGCCGCCCATCTTCTGAGATGTGGGGAGCGCCTCTGCCCCACCGCCCCATCTGGGAGGTGAGGAGCGTCTCTGCCCGGCCGCCCCGTCTGAGAAGTGAGGAGACACTCCGCCCGGCAGCCTCCCCGTCTGAGAAGTGAGGAGCCCTTCCGCCCGGCAGCCACCCCGTCTGGGAAGTGAGGAGCGTCTCTGCCTGGCAGCCGCCCCGTCCGGGAGGGAGGTGGGGGGGTCAGCCCCCGGCCCGGCCAGCCGCCCCGTCCGGGAGGTGAGGGGCGCCTCTGCCCGGCCGCCCCTACTGGGAAGTGAGGAGGCCCTCTGCCCGGCCACCACCCCGTCTGGGAGGTGTACCCAACAGCTCATTGAGAACGGGCCATGATGACAATGGCGGTTTTGTGGAATAGAAAAGGGGGAAAGGTGGGGAAAAGATTGAGAAATCAGATGGCTGCTGTGTCTGTGTAGAAAGAAGTAGACATGGGAGACTTTTCATTTTGTTCTGTACTAAGAAAAATTCTTCTGCCTTGGGATCCTGTTGATCTATGACCTTACCCCCAACCCTGTGCTCTCTGAAACATGTGCTGTGTCCACTCAGGGTTAAATGGATTAAGGGCGGTGCAAGATGTGCTTTGTTAAACAGATGCTTGAAGGCAGCATGCTCATTAAGAGTCATCACCACTCCCTAATCTCAAGTACCCAGGGACACAAACACTGCTGAAGGCCGCAGGGTCCTCTGCCTAGGAAAACCAGAGACCTTTGTTCACTTGTTTATCTGCTGACCTTCCCTCCACTATTGTCCTATGACCCTGCCAAATCCCCCTCTGCGAGAAACACCCAAGAATGATCAATAAAAATAAATAAATTAATTAAAAAATAAATAAACAAATAATTAAATAGTTGGCCAAAAAAAAAAAAAATACAAAAATGAGCCAGACATGGTGGTGCATGTCTGTTGTAATCCCAGCTACTTGGAATTCTGAGGCATCCTGTGACTTCATTAAAGTCAGTCTTCACTGTTAGATTATTTTGCCCCTTTTAGTCCAATTACACCTTTTTGGAGGAAACAGGTATTATAAGCTTTCATTTAGTATCACTCAAACAATTTATTATGTTTGTGAACAGAACAGAATAAATTTTTTTATTTATAATAGGGTATAATTCGAATATAACTTAATATAAATAACTAATTCTAAACATCTGATTCTAAAACTAAAAAAAATGATAGAATCTTCTACTTTTCAAATGCAGGGATAAATATAACATATTGCATTGACACAGCATATATTAAATTCTTAATAGAATGTGCATATCAATTGATAGCAAAGCTCTATGTGTATCAATATATGAATATTAGACTTTATTTCCTCTACATAATGGTATCACAGTTTTTCTTTAGTACATTTCTATTATGTTTGACAATTTTGGTGGAACTTTATATTCTTAAAGAGTCAGAGATACCATGCAGCTAATAAAGGTTAAGATCTAGGCCCCTCTCTGCTCCCTGGGTGGGACTTTAGTAATAAATTCACAATGAAGTACATCTTTGCCAAAGTTGCAAAAGCAAGATATTTTAACCACAATCAATTAAGCCCACCTTTCTTCCCATTCTGACTACCACCTATCACACTTTAACTGATATCATAGTGCATTATCATGTCTGCAGGCATTTGTAGGGTACAAGCAAAAGGAGATTGAGTTAATGATACTTTACTTGATGTTTAGTGGGTATATTCATATCGTTCAAAAATCGATGACATTTATTATTTAATAATGCTATCTATTCTGGTGCAGAAATGACTACCCAGAGTGCTGTTACCACATAGTATGCAGAGATGTTTCCGGAATTTCATTAATAGGCGTGATGGCTCACATCTGTAATCTCAGCACTTTGGGAGGCCGAGGCAGGTGGATCACCTGAGGTCAAGAGTTTGAGACCAGCCTGTCCAACATGGTGAAATGCCATCTCTACTAAAAGTACAAAAAAATTAGCCAGTTGTGGTGGTGGGTGCCTGTAATCCCAGGTACTCAGGAGGCTGAGGCTGGAGAATCACTTGAACCTGGGAGGCAGAAGTTGCAGTGAGCCAAGATCACTCTCTTGCACTCCAGCCTAGGCAACAAGTGTGAAACTCCATCTCAAAAAAAAAAAATGGTTAAAATAAAATTATTATAGTTATAGATTTTATGATTTTTGACTATTAATTTGAAATTGAAAAAATTAAATATTTTTATTGTAAATAAATGTTTATATTTATGTCTCAAGTTGTAAGTGTATTTTCTTGAAGTAAACTTCCAAATTAGTTTAAGTGTCAAGACACACAAGATGTGTTTAAAATAAATGATTTATATTTATGGCTAAATAAATGATTATATTTGGCTAAAATAAATTATTTATATTTAATAAACATAGTTTGTGATAATTTATTTTATGTACTTTATTTCCTTTTATATAATGATATGGAGATAATAACATCTATAAAGCATACACAAATATTTATTTGCTTGGTGCGGTGGCTTACACCTATAATCCGAGCTACTCAGGAGGCTGAGGTGGGAGGATTGCTTGAGCCCAGGAGTTCCAGGCTGCAGTGAAGTTGTGCCATTGCACTCCAGCTTGAGCAACAGAGTGAGACCCAGTCTGTAAATACATAGATACATATATTTCTAAATGTATTCATAATGCATATTACATAATAGATATTTACACACATATAATTGACATATTGCATATGTATACATAATACATATTAAATGTATTACATCACGAATTAATATCTTATTATTTCTGGAATTATGCAATTATTTTTGGTATTTATAGAGTATAACACTGTGATTTACAAATATTTCTGTAATAAGTACAGCCTCTCCATTTAACAAAATTAACATGCAGTCAGTCAATCAAAGTGGAACTGGTCTAATTAAAAATAATGAAGTGGCTTTTTCCTAATCTCTTGGATTCTCCTCTTATCACATTCACTGTTAACTCAGTGAAAGCCTGGATACTTTTTAATCGGAAAGGTAATTGGATTTCAAGATATTTAGTTAGATAAAATGCAGAATAGAATTATAATTTAACCGAATGCCATCATCAGCCTGCACAACTATCAGGTAGAAACTTTTGGGAGACAACCCCTTGGTCCACATCTACATTCTGGAGCAGCTGGAGCCTGGAGCTAACTGGCAGGTGGTAGCGATTCTAAGATCTGATAATTCATATGTATAGGCTGTTCCACATTGTCCAGGGAATGAGGACAGAAGGGGAGTACAATACAGGAGAGCTAGTGAGCCACTTACAACCTTCTTCCCAGATGAAGCCATCTTCTGTTTCTCCGTAGAGCCTCACTCTTCCTTTCTGGCCTCTTCCTGTCTTACAAGCAATAACTAGAAAGAAACTCCTTTTGGAAACTTTATTTTGAATTTCCAAAATCTCAGGGCCTGCTATCATAGGGTTTATTGTAGAATAGGAGGTACACTGGATTGATCAAAGGAATTCAGATTTCCAGCACCAATCTTACCACTTCGAAGTGTTTAAATTTTGCTAAGAATTCTTCTAGTGTTTGTTAGCTTTTCTTCATTTCCAACGTTAGTTATTACCTTCCTCTGAAGACTTCTGGATTCTTTTACCTTTATTTTTGTGTGGAAAAATATATCTGATCTCTTCAGAACATTTTTTGTTTATTTGTAGGAATTTAAGGGGTCCTAGTACAGTTTTGTTGTGTAGATATATTGCATAGTGGTGAAGTCTGAGCTTTAATTGTATTCATAATGTACTCCAGTTCTATTCATGTTGTTGCAAATAATAGGATTTTTATCTTTTTGATGGTGAAATAATATAAAGAGGAATAAAAGCTCATGGCAAAATTGAATTAAAGGATAACAATAAAATGTAAACTTTTTTTTAACGTGAGTGCCATCAAGTTCAAGACACTTTTTGTAAGTGATGACACCAGTCAAAATTAGTTCATGTCTGACGGACTGTGTGTTTCGGAAATTTACCCATGTCAATACATTCTTTTTTACATTATTAATTGAAACAAAATGGGTTTCCATTGTAGAATTTTGAAGACTAGCAAACAAAAAAAAAGAGTCGTAAGGAGCCAAATCAGACAGTAGGATGGAGGCCTAATGGTTTTCCATCAAAACTATCACAAAATTGCCCTTGTTTGATGAGAGTAATGAGTAGGAGCCTTGTCTTGGTGGAGAACGACTTTCTGGTAAAGCTCTCCTGTGTATTTGACTGCTAAAACTTTGGCTAACTCTCTGTCAATACATAGTTATAATAAGCAGATACTATCTTCTTTGTCCCTCTGGAAAACCAACAAGCAAAATTCTTGAGTGTCTCAAAAAAACCATTGCCATGATGTTTTCTCTTGACCTGTCTGCTTTTGCTTTGTCTGAACCACTTCCCCCTATTGGCAGTCATTGGATTGATTGTGCTGTATCTTCAGGGCCATACTGCTAAAACCATGTTTTACCTCCTGTTGTAATTTTTATCTCATGTACTTCATCTTCAGGGCCATACTGGTAAAACCATGTTGTATCTCCTGTTACAATTCTTTGAAGAAATCCTTCAGGATCTCAATCCCACCTGTTCAAAATTTCCTTTTTTTTTTTTTTCCCAAGAAAGAGAAAGGCAACTCCAGCCTGTGTCGCCCAGGCTGGAGTGCAATGGTGCGATCTCCGCTCACTGCAACTTCCGCCTCCTGAATTCAAGCAATTCTCCTGCCTCAGCCTCCTGAGTAGCTGGGATTACAAGCGCATACCACCAAGCCTGGCTAATTTTTGTGTTTTTAGTAGAGAAGGGGTTTCACCATATTGGACAGGCTGGTCTTGAACTCCCGACCTCATGATCTGCCCACCTCAGCTTCCCAAAGTGCTGAGATTGCAGGAGTGAGCCACTGCACCCAGCCCTCAAAATTTCTATTGAGAGCTCTGCTCTTGTCTGCAACTCATCTGGGTGCAATGGTTTTTAATGGTAAAGAGTTAGCTCAACTTTAATTTTTTACACAGAAATTATGAAAGCTGACCCAATTGAGATGTCAATGTTATTGGCTACTGTTTCTGCTGTTAATTGCTAGTCCTTTTCAAGTAGGGTATGAACAGGATGAATTTTTTTCCTTGTGAATTAATGCACATGGTTTGTCTCTGAGAGCTTCAGCTCTTCTTTTATCATCATCTTATCCCTGATTACAATGATTGATACATTTGTAGGCACGGTGCAGTGGTTCACGCCTGTAATCCCAACACTTTGGGAGGCCGAGGCAGGCAGATCATGAGGTCAGGAGATCGAGACCATCCTGGCCAACATGGTGAAATCCTGTCTCTACTAAAAATAAAAATTAGATGGGCATGGTGGCAGGCACCTGTAATCCCAGCTACTCAGGAGGCTGAGGCAGGAAAATTGCTTGAACCAGGGAGGCAGAGGTTGCAGTGAGCCGAAGTCGTGCCACTGCACTCCAGCCTGGGCAACAGAGTGAGACTCCGTATCAAAAAAACAAAAAAACAAAAAACTGCTGATTTCTCTGGAGGGCATTGTCCTCACAAAATTTTTGTAAAGCATCGGTAATTCCACCATTCTTCCACTCACATTTGACAAAATTTATTGCTTTAGCAGAATTCATGTTGCTCTGACAGGGGCTCTTTTCAAAGTAATGGCTTATCCTTCTTAGTGTATCAGACTAGGTCTTGTTTAGACATCTCATATTTCCATGAACTTTACGAAGACCCTCCGTATTCCATTGTATGTATATACCACCTGTTTTTGTTGTCCTTTCATGAATTGATGGATATTTAGCTTGAAGTTCCACCTTTAGAATTACCATATTTTTATTTTTTTTAATTTTCACTTGTTTTCTTACAGTGTTAATTTTGCTAAATGATTCAATACATTAAACATATTTATAACAGTTATTTTAGAGTCCTTACCTGCTAATTCTATCATTATGTCTTTTCTGTTTTATTTTAATTATCTCATGGATAGGCTCACCCATTGCTCTTTTCCCATATGTCTAGTATTTATGACTAGATGCTGAAGATTGTGAATTTTATGTTAATGGATGCCATAAGTTTATTTGTTTGCTGGTTTGTTTCTCTAAAATAATGTTAAATGTTTAAGACAAGTATCAGTTGGCTCCTTTTGTGACTTGTTTGAAGGTGTATGATTAGAGTTTAATGCAGACTTTACCTCTGAGGTTTCTATCAAATGCCCATTTATTGAACAAGGACTCACTCTACATTGACTTAACTCGAATGTCTTCCTGCCCTGTGCAGTCTCTGGGAATTTTTCAGCTTATATTCCCTGATCATTATTTTAATATACTTGAGTATGTTCCTTATAACCACCCACAATTTAATGTTCAGCCACAAAAACAAGATGAACTTGTAATTGAGGGAAGGATGAACAACACACGTTAATAGATATGACATATAGGAAACAAATAGCAATATGCCAGAAAGAAGTACTCTATTATTCACAGTTATTTTAAATGTACACAAATTAAGCTCTCCAATTAAAAGGCAGAGATAGTAGAATGA
Organism: Homo sapiens; assembly: GCF_000001405.40. NCBI lineage: Eukaryota > Metazoa > Chordata > Mammalia > Primates > Hominidae > Homo > Homo sapiens. The sequence goes on from NC_000011.10 coordinate 56,150,238, forward strand.
ATTAAAACAATGATGTGATTCAACTATATATGGTATGGAATAGATTTACTTTGTTTATACTGTTGTTTTATGTCTGGAAAATTAAAAAAAAATAATTGGAAAAATGTATATTCAATAAAGAAAAAAATGTTATTAACACACCCATAGTGTACTGATGTAGCTTTTTAAAAGTATTTTGAAGAGGAGAAATATGAGGTTCTATAGAATCACTGAAGAAAACGCTGAATCAGCAGCAAAATATGCTGATAAAGAGATGACACATAATTGAGATATAAAATATGATGTTTCACTTGGCTGAATATAAGGAAAACAACCTATTGGAGAAAAGGATGAACAAACATTAATATATATGACATAAAGAAAACAGGTAGCGTGGTGGCGGGTGCCTGTAGTCCCAGCTACTCAGGAGGCTGAGGCAGGAGAATGGTATGAACCCGGGAGGCGGAGCTTGGAGTGAGCCGAGATCTCGCCACTGCACTCCAGCCTGCGCGACAGAGCAAGACTCCATCTCAAAAAAAACAAAACAAACAAGAAAAAACAGGTAGCAATATACCAGTAATAAGTCCTCTATCGTCCACAATTTCTTTAATTTTACATGAATTAAACTCAGTAATTATAATTAAAAAGTACGGATAGTAGAATGAATGTAAACAACAACGATGTGATCCAGCTATATGCTGTTGGATGACAGAGTATTGTGAGATGTGTTGTAATCAGTTTTTGCTCTCAAGCCCAAATTAATACAATTATTTATACATGAAAATATTATCAAGTGGAGAAGATGATTGGCAGGAGACAGGGCTAACGTGTAGCTCACACTTAGACGGACAGAACAGCATGTGGAGAATCATACCACGATTTTTTGCTCTTAGAACTACTGCGGAAACATATCAGGAAAACCAAAAGAATACATAGTGCTACAGTCATGCCCATGCACCACAACGTAGTAGTCTGTTGATGTGAGGTATCACCTGAAGTTCTCTGTCTCAGGACCAAGAGAATTAAGGAGCATGGACACAAAAAGTGAGGTTGGAGTCAAAGTTTAATAAGCAAAAGAAGAAAGTTCTCCACTGTGGAGAGGAGACCTGGAAGATGGTTGCACTGATGAGGGCTGGGGTGTTTCATTTGCACAAGGCACAAATTTCTGGTAGCTTCATCCTGTCCTCCTAGTGCACATGTGGGCCCTTAGCTTGAGTTACTCCATATTGCTTTGTTCCCCTTACTATGCATGTGTCAGGGGATGGAATTTTCCATTGCAGGCATGTATGGGAAAGTCACCTGTGTAGTCTTTCTTATCTGTACTGCTATGGGGATGTCTTAGGCAAGCCCCCTTGTGCAAGTTCTCTTATCTGTGCCTGCAGGCTGTTCTTTTGTTTGAAAGGAGTCAACTGAGGACCCGCCCTAACTACCTGCCTGACTGAGTTTTTTCCTTTCTCCTCCCTCAATAGGCCCTTTGAAAAAACAGCACACTACTGCAAATTCCATGAGACAAGCAAAAAACTGAGTTCCCAAAGTGTGAGAGGGGGAAACCCTGACTCTAAACACACATTATCACTGGAAAATCTGAAAACCCAGATCACGGGAGAAGGATTTAATCTTACCTAGAACTAAAATGGATTTACGAAGTTGTACAAAAATATAAAAGTAGAAGCAGCAGTGGATGGTGCTTTGCAGGCATTCCCAGTCTCCAGCTTGAACCCAAGTAAGCTATCCCTGACTGTATCTCACAGGGTCCATCAGAGAAGGCAGCCAGAAGAACTGGGGAGTGGTCACAGGGTGAAGAAAGCTTCCAGCTGCAATTGGTAGTGGTTTTGACTGGGCAGCAATTTACTCGAGCAGAGTCCAGAGGATGAGCAGGAGCTGCTGCAGATATGAGTGTAGGAGGTCAGGAGTTGCTGATGGAGTGGGTAGATAGGGAGGGATGAGGTCCAAAGCCATGCTTGCTTTCTCAGCTGGGTAGATCACAGCCTGGAGCAAGGTCTGAGCTGGGGGACACTGCAAGAGTAGGACCAGTGTTTCCAACTGCGTGAAAGCTGTGTGGGACCTCTGGCAACAGGCTATCCCCCACTTCCTGAGTGAATTATATGGCATAGCAAAGGTGGCCAAGATCCCCATTGGCCTGAGAACTGATTGGACTCCGGTGAAGACTCCAAGATGGCGATGGGTAACCATCTTGGCTACCCTGACTCAGCACTCCCGGATTCGCCAGTTCCCGCCATCCCAGTGGCCATCTTGGCCACCCTGACTTGGCATTTTCGCTTATTCCCGCCATTTATTCCTGCCCTCCCGACAGCCACCTCAGGTACCCTGACTCAGCATTTCCGGGTTCACCCTTCCTGTTCCTGCCACCTGGACCAACGCGCATGCCCACTAGGGCATGCCACACTCAGAAGTGGGAAACTCAACCGACCCCGCCCCTATCCTGCCCACTCCCCACCCAGCATCCATATAAGTGCGCTGCACCTCTGGCACAGCACGACTTCCCTGGCCCTCCCCCTGCAGACCAGTGAACCTCGCCCGAGAACTCACTAAAGAAGATTTTTGCCCTCTTTGTCTCGCCTCTTGGCCTTATTGATCCACGGTGCCCCTCCATTGCCTTTCAAGAACCATTCCCCCATTACCTACAGTGGCTGCAGCAAGCCCAACGCAAGGATAGTCTAAGCCCAGACTTGCCTAACCTTGTCCCCAGATAATGGTATTTCTCTACCCACCCTGGTAGCTGAACACAAAACATTGAAACTCTTGAGAGCTTTATGGCCCCTCCTACTACCTAAGAAACCAAAATACTTACCCTGGCCAACTTAGGGCAAGCTTAGTTCCCCCTACAACTACTGTAGCTGGTGCTCTCTTGAAAGCACCACCTCCTGGCTGGAGGCCAACTGTGATGATTAATATTGTCAATTTGATTGGATTGAGAGATGCAAATTATTGTTCCTGAGTGTGTCTGTGAGGGTGTTGCCAAAGGAAATTAACATTTGAGTCAGTGGACTGGGAGAGACAGACCATCCCTCAATCTGGGCGGGCACCATCTAATCAGCTGCCAGTGTGGCTAAATAAAGCAGGCATACGAAATTGGAAAGAGGAGATTTGCTGAGTCTTCTGGCCTTCATCTTTCTCTCGTCCTGGATGCTTCCTGCCCTTGAACATCATTTTCCAGATTCTTCAGCTTTTGGTCTCTTGAACCTACACCAGTGGTTTGCCAGGGGTGCTCAAGACTTTGGCCACAGACTGAAGGCTGCACTGTTGGCTTCCCTATTATTGAGGTTTTGGAATTCAGACTGGCTTCCTTGCTCCTCAGCTTGCAGACAGCCTGTTGTGGGACTTCACCTTGTAATTGTGTGAGTCAATACCCATTAATAAACTCCCCTTCATACATACAACCATCTTATTAGTTCTGTCCCTCTAGAGAATCCTAATACAACAAGCAACTCATGACAGAATAACCTCAATCTCAGGGAAAAGAAGACAACACCTAATTCCATTGCATGCAAATTCCTGGTTAACCAGAGGTCCTGAGTCTGTCCATGTGACAATTTTACTGCTAGCATAACCGGCATTTGAGAAAGCCAGCACACTAAAGAGATCTACAACAAAGAACTCTTACAGAGTCTACTTCACTCCCTGCCAACCCCAAGAAAGCAGGTGTTGGTATCCGCAGCTGGGAGACTTGAAGATGGATTGCATCACAGTACTCTTTGCAGACATTCCCTAGCACCAGCCCAGAGCCTGGTTGTCCCCTGGGTGGCTGGACCCAGAAGAGCAACAACAACCCCTGCAGTAAGCCTCACAGGAGCTCCATCCCTAGGAGAAGGGGGGAGTGCACCATATCAGGGAGACCACCTTGTGGGATGAAAGAATCTGAACATCAGACCTCGATTTCCTGACCTTTCCACTGAAACAGTCTACCCAAATGAGAAAAAAAAGGGGGAGAAGTAATTTTGGTAATACGACAAAAAATCGTTCTATAACTCCCCCAAAAGTTCACACCAGCTTCCAAACAATAGCCAAAACAAGAAGAAATATTTGAATTGCTTGATAAAGAACTCTGAAGTTTGATTATTAAGCTACTCAAGGAGATACCAGAGAAAGTTAAAACCAACTTAAAGACATTTTTTAAAAAAAATACAGCATATGGATGAAAAATTCTGAAGAGAAATAGACATCATAAAGAAAAAAACAATCAAAACTTCTAGAAATGGAAGACACACTTAGAAAAATACAAAACATAGTGGAAAGTTTAAACAATAGACTAGAACAACCAGAAGAAAGAACTTCAGAGATAGAAGACAAGGTTTTCAAATTAATGCAATTGGATAAAGACAAAAAAGAATAAAAAATAAACAAAGCCTCCAAGAAACTTGGGATTATGTTTAAATGGCCAAACCAAAGAATAACTAGTGTCTGTGAAGAAGAAGAGAAATACAAACATTTGGAACAGTTATTTGGGGAAACAATTGATGAAAATACCCCTGGCTTTGCTAGAGGTCTAGACATTCAAATACAAGAAGCTCAAGGAACACCTGGGAAATTCATGACAAAAAGATCATCGCCTAGGCACATAGTTATCAGATTATATAAAGTCAGGATGAATGAAAGAATCTTAAAAGCTGTGAGGCAAAAGTATCAGCTAACCTGTAAAGGAAAGCCTATCAGATTAATGACAAATTTTTCAGCAGAAACCCAACAAGCCAGAAGGGACTGGGGTCCTATATTTAGCCTCTTTAAATGAAATAATTATCAACCAAGAATTTTGTATCTAGCAAAACTAAGCTTCATAAATGAAGGAGAGATAAAGATTTTTCAGACAAAGAAATCCTGAGAGAATTTGCCACTAATAAGCTAGTACTATAAGAAATGTTAAAAGGAGTTCTGATTCTTGAAACAAACCTCAAAGTATACCAAAATAAAACCTACTTAAAGCGTAAATCTCAAAAGGCCTATAAAATAATAACACAATGGAAAAAACAGGGTATTTTGGCAACAACTAGCATGATAAATAGAGCATTACTTCACATCTCAATACTAACATTGAATGTAAATGGCATAAATATTCCACTTAAAAGGTACAGAATGGTAGAATGAAAAAAATCCACCAATCGAGTGTCTACTGTCTCAAGAGACTCACCTAACACATAAGGACTCACATAAACATAAGGTAAAGGGGTGGAAAAAGATATTCCACCAAAATGGAAACCAAAAGTGAACAGAAGTAGCTATCCTTATATCAAATAAAACAGATTTTAAAGCAACAACACTTCAAAAAGACAATGAGAGATATTATATAATGATAAAAGGATTAGTCCAACAGGAAAATGTAACAATCCTAAATATATATGCACCTAACACTGGAGCTCACAAATTTATAATATAAAAATCACTAGATCTAAGAAATGAAATAGACAGTGTCTATCTTTAAATGAGATTATGGTCTGTCTCATTTCTTAGGTCTAGTAATTTTTGTTTTATTAAATAATAGTGGGAGACTTCAACACCCCATTGACAGCACTAGACAGGTTATCAAGACAGAAAGTCAACAAAGAAACAATGGGCTTAAACTATACCCTAGAACAAATGGACTTAATGATATTTACAGGACATTCTACCCAACAACTGCAAAATATACACTCTTTTCTTTAGCACATGGAACATTCTCCAAGACAACAGACCATATGATAGGTCACAAAACAAGTCTTAATAAATTTAAGAAAATATGGTTTGGCACAGTGGCTCACACCTGTAATCCCAGCACCTTGGGAGGCAAAGGCAGATGGATCGCTTGAGGTCAGGAGTTCAAGACTAGCCTGGTGAACATGGTGAAACTCCATCTCTACTAAAAATACAAAAAATTAGCTGAGAGTAGTTGTGTGTGCCCGTAATCCCTGATACTTGGGAAGCTGAGGCAGGTGAATCACTTGAACCCTGGAGGCAGAGAATTGCAGTGAGCTGAGATCATGCCCTTGGCACCCCGCCTGGGCAAAAGAGCAAGACTCTGTCTCACAAATTTGAATTAATTAATTAAAAAATAAATTTAAGAAAATCAAATTTATATCAAGTATCCTCTGAGAACATATTGGAATAAAATTAACTTCAAAAAGAAACCTTAAAACTATACAAATATATGGAAATTAAATAATCTGTTCTAGAATGATCTGTGGGTCAACAATGAAATCAAGGTTAAAATTTAAAAATTATTTGAGCTGAATGATAATAGTGACACAACTTATCAAAACCTCTGAGATACAGCAAAAATGGTGCTAAGAGGAAAGTTCATAGCATCAAATACCTGCACCAAAAAGTCTGAAAGAGCACAAATAGACAATCCAAGGTCACATTTTAGAGAATAGAGAAAAAAGAACAAACGAAACCCAACCCCAGCCAAAGAAAACATCACTCACTGATGATATGATTATGTACCTAGAAAACCCTGAAGACTCATTCAAAAAGTTCCTAGATCTCATAAGTGAATTTAGTAAAGTTTCAGGATACACACATCAATGTACACAAATCAGTAGCACTGCTGTACACCAACAATGACCAAGCTGAGAAACAAATAAGAACTCAATTTCTTTTATAATATTTGCAAAAAATAAAATAAAATACTTAGGAATATACATATCCAAGGAGGTGAAAGAGCTCTACAAGCAAAACTACAAAACACTGCTGAAAGAAGTCAATGACAACACCAACAAATGAAAACATCCCATGCTCATGGATGGGTAGAATCAATATTGTAAAAATGACCATACTGCCAAAAGCAATCTACAGTTTCCATGCAATTCTCATTAAACTGCCATCATCATTCTTCACAGAACTAGAAAAAACAATCTTAAAATTCATATGGAACAAAAAAAGAGCCTGCATAGCTGAAGCAAGACTATGCAAAAATAACAAATCTGGAGGCATCATATTACCAGACTTTATGCTATAAGGCTATGGTTACCAAAGCAGTATGGTATTAGTATAAAAATGGGCACATAGAACAATGGAACAGAATAGAGAACCCAGAAATAAAGCCAAAGACAGCCAACTGATCTTTGACAAAGCAAACATAAACATAAAGTAGGGAAAGGGCAACCTATTACAAATGCTGCTGGGATAATTGGCAAGCTACATGTAGAAGAATAAAATTGGATCCTTATCTCTCACCTTATGCACAAATCAACTCAAGATGGATCAAAGACTTAAATCTAAACATGAAACCATAAGTTTCCTAGAAGATAACATTGGAAGAACTCTTATAGACATTGGTTTAGGAAAAAAGTTCATGAAAAATAACCCAAAAGCAAAAGCAACAAAAACAAAAATAAATAAATGGGACCTAATTAAACTAAATAGCTTCTGCATAGCAAGGTAAATAATCAGTAGAGTAAGCAGACAACCCAAAGAATGGAAAAAAATATTTGCAAACTATGCATTTAACTGTCATGGTTTGCCACTCTTACTACGGTTACCATGGGACTGAATGAAGGACGAACACAGAAATGAAAACTTAGAACATGAGAAACTATTTTAAAGAGAGGGTCCGGGGAAGAAGAAGAGGGCTCCTTGCTTCTAGTCTGCAAAGGTAGCCCTGAGATTCTACAGCCCTTCGTATTTATTGGGTAGAAACAGCAAGGAGGAGGAGGTAACGATTGGTCAGCTGCTTAATTGATCACAGGTTCACATTATTGCTAACAGGCTTCCGATGTGCCTAATCACAAGAAACACTGTGCCTAGGGCATGACTACCCTCAGCATTCCTTCTGGGCATCAGACATAGTTTGTCATTTTGCCAACATTCTGCATTTACGAGAATAGTTTGCTGTTTACTCATATAGCCTCCAGTGGTATACTGAGTTGATCACAACCCTCACTCTTTCGGACTACAACATTCAACAATGGACTAATATCCAGAATCTACAAGTAAATCAAGCAAATCAGCAAGAAGTGAACAAATAATCCCATCAAAAAGTGGACAAAGGTCATGAATAGACAACTCCAAAAGAAGATATACTTATGACCAAAAAAATATTTAAAAATGCTCAACATCACTAAGTATCTGGAAAATGCAAATCAAACCACAATGAGATTACCTTACTCCTGCAAGAATGACCATAATTTAAAAATAAAAAAAAAGTGTTGGCATGAATGTGGTGAAAAGGGAACACTTTCACACTGCTGGTAGGAGTGTAAACTGGTACAACCACTTTGGAAAACAGTATGGAGATTTTTTAAATAAGTAAAAGTAGAACTTTCACTTGATCCAGCAATCCCACTCCTGGGTATCTACCCAGTGGAAAAGAAGTCATTATGTGAAAAAGACACTTGCACATCCATGTTTAGAGCAGGGAAATTAGCAATTGCAGTAGTATGTAACCAGCCTAAATGTCCATCAACCAACTAGTGGATAAAGAAAATGTGAGATCTATATATATATATATACACACACACACACACACACATATATATCTCATGAAATCCGAAAATCTGATTACTCATTGAAAATCTGATATATATAAAGAAAATGTGATATATATATGACAAAAAGTGGACTCATATAACCAGAATATGATATACATATCACATTTTCTTTATATATACCATATATATATCAAATGATATATATAGATATCACGTTTTCTTTATCTATATATATGTGTGTGTGTGTGTATATATATATATATGTATATATATATATGATGGAATACTACTCACTTATAAAAAGGAACAAAATAATGGCATTCACAGCAACCTGGATGGAGCTGGAGACCTTTATTCTAAGTGAAGTAACTCAGGAATGGAAAACCAAATATCATATGTTCTCACTTATAAGTGGGAGCTAAACTATGAGGATACAAATAGGTAAGAATGACATAATGTATTTTGGGGACACAGGGAAAAGTGTGCAGTGTGGGCGAGGGATAAAAGGCTACACATTGAGTACAGTGTACACTGCTCAGGTGATGAGTGCACCAAAACCTCAGAAATTACCCCAATGAACTTATTCACATAACCAGAAACCTCCTACTTCCCAAAAATTATTGAAATAAAAAACAATTAAAAAAATTTGAAAATTGGAAAATTTATATACACATGAAAAATTATCAAGTGACATTAATCTATATTATATATTTATTATAACAATATTACAAATTGATTATTAAACACAAAGTTGACATCAATTCTCAAAGAGCTTATAGAAGGCATTTTTCACCTCTTCGTTTCTTAAGCTGTAAATCAAAGGGTTAAGCATGGGGATTACTAAAGTGTAAAACACAGAAGCCATTTTATCAGTATCAAAGAAGTGAGTGGAATTGGGCTGCATGTACATGAAGAGTAGAGACCCATAGAACACAACCACCACTGTCAAATGGGAACCACATGTGGAGAAAGCCTTTTTCCTGCCCTCTGCAGAATGCATTTGACATATAGCTAACAAAATCAACATGTAGGACACTAAGACTATCAGAAAGGAGGAGATCAAATTAAATACAGAAAATAGTATGCTCAACAATTCTATTTCCTGTGCATTTGAGCAAAGCATAGGTAGCAAAGGAACATCATCACAGTAAAAATGACTGATGACATTAGAGCCACAGAAGGTCAATGTAAAAATCTTAATAGTGAACATCAGAGCCTGAAATGTGCTGTAGAGATATTGAATGCCCACCAGTACATGACACAGTCGCTGAGACATAATAACATAATAGAGCAGAGGGTTACAAATGGCCACATAGCGGTCATAGGCCATGGCTGACAGGATGAAAAATTCACTGATAATGAACATAAGGAAGAATGCCAGCTGTGCAGCACATGCATAATAGGAAATAGTATTTCGATCCACAACAAAATTTGCCAGCACCTTGGGACAAATGACAGTAGAATTACCAAGATCAACAAAAGCCAAATGTCTGATAGAAAAGTACATAGGTGTATGTAAGTGGGAGTCCAGTTTGGTCAAAATGATCATAGTTAGGTTGCCCACCACTGTGATTAGGTAGATGACGAGGAAGACTCCAAAAAGGGGAATCTGCAGCTCAGGCCGCCTTGTGAGTTCCATCAGAATGAATTCAGTTAGCACTGTTAGATTGTGTTGGCCCATTTAGTCCAGTTATCTCTTCTAGGAAGAAACAGTTGGGTTATTAGCTGTTCCATGTAGTGCTATTTAAACAAATTATAATATTTGTAGACAGAATAGATTGTTATTCACAATAGATAATAGAAACATTATTTCTACATTTGATTCAGAAATGAAATATAAAGCAAAATTTTCTACTTTCCTAAAAGAGGAATTCATGTAAAATACATGCACTGAAACAACATAGATTAAATAGTTTCATCAATATTTGAAGTATATCGGTTAATAACACAGCCATATAGGTATTATTACAAAAAGATTATGCTCTTTTCATCTGCACAATGGTATCATGATTTTCTTTTGTTCACTTCCACTTTTGTTGTAAAACTTTTCTGTAATTTTGATATTCTCAAAGACAGAGGTAGAGATGGCAATAAGATAATGAAGGTTAAGATTTGGGGTCCCTCATTTGCACTTCCAGGGTCTTGTGTGGGGACTTACGAATGCACGCAAAAATGATATATCTTTGTAAAATTTCAAATGTAAGATATAATAATCATGATCAATTAAGGCTGCTTTCTGTTTTCATTCCAACTTCTAGTATATCACACTTCAACTAATATCATAGTGACTTGACATTTCTGCAAGCATTGTGGGATCTAGCTAAAGAAGGATTGAGTTAATAATAGTTTATTTGATGTTCAATGGATATGTTTATATCATTCAGACACTATGATATTTATCACTGAATAATACTACCTATTCTGACTTAAGAATGTCTTCTAAGGATACTCTTGCCACCTGTATGCTGAGATGCATTTGGCATTTGATTAATTAACATACTATATTAATAAATTTTATATAGTTTGTGGCCATGGGTTTGTTTACTAATTACAATTTAAAGCTAATTTTCTATTCTAAATAAATATTCCCATTTATCTTTCAACTTGTATGTGTAATTTTATCTAAAAAGTCAAATTCTTCTAAGCTTCAAGACACATAATCTGGATCCACTTCTGCAAAAACATGATTTAAATCAATATTCAGTGATGACTATTTAATTATATGTACTTTATTTTCTGTAATAAAACACTGTGAAGATGGTAGGTTCTATAAATCATTTAAATAATTTGAGAATTTAGGACATCATATATTAGTGAATGACTTTTTTTCTGGAATTGTACAGTGGAGTATTCATGGAGATATAATACTGTAATTAAAACTATTTCAATGAAAAGTACTTCTCCCTTTATTTAAAAAATACACGGGAAGTCAATAAAAGAAAGTGGAACGTCCCTGATACAGATAGTGAAGATGTCTTAGCCTATTCCACTTAAATTCCCCTCTCCTTCAGTTTCCACTCATTGAAAATCTGGAACTCTGTGAGAGTGACTTTCAATTGGAATAGTAACGGAATTTTCCACAGATCTAATGTAGAATAGATTTATTATAATGTAATGGAATGTCAGCTTTAGCCTGCACATCCCTCAGGTAGAAAACTCTGAAAACCCACCTAAAGATCCAAAACTACAGTTTGGAGCAGGTGCAGTCCACAGCCACACTGTGGCATTTGGCAACACTTCTAGGTATCTGCTCATTAGTGGGAGACATTTTGCCAACTTCATCTATGGACTACAGATGTGGGAAGGGGGCAACAGTGGAGGTTAGTGACCCTCTTCCATTCCTTCTCCCTAAATGAAGCTGTCTGCTGTTTCTCCATTGAACTTCACCCCTCTTTTAGGTCTTTCTTTTCCCACAGATAAGAACCATGACTATTCTATTTCTAAAACTTTATCTTAAATTTGCAGTATTGCAGGAATTGCTCACATAGGGTTTTATGGTAGAATAGAAGATGCACTGAATTGCAAAGGAAATTCAGAATTCCAACATCAATCCCACCAATCTGAAGTCAATACTTTGCTTAAAATGGTTTTAGTTTTTATTCAGTCTATTTCCATTGTCACTGTCAATTATTATCTCCCTCTGAAGATTTCTCAATTTTGTATCCTACCTGTTTTTCTTATGGAAAAAAGTATATTTCTAACGTATTTGAATAATTATGCATACATTTTAAATACCCTTGTTTAGGGATAACCAATAGAAAAGACAGGATAAAAAAGTATGCAAAGGAATTATTTTTCAGTCTTTAGCCTTCATGAAATCTTTTAGGAATTAATGATAGTTCAGGGATTTATTGGTAACTCTATAACTTTAAAAATTATTTCTATTTATTTTACAGTCTACTTAATCAGTTTGTAATGCCTATTGTTTAAAGGAAAACAATAGTAGTAACTCAGTAAAAATAAACCAAAAATATGCAAGTTTATATATGTAATATCACTATCTAGAAATTATTTGAAGCTTGTAAAATGTTGTATAGAAAAACATGGACACAGGGAGGGGACACAGGAAGGGGAACACAGGGAGGGGAACACCGGGGCCTCTCAGCGGGTGGGGGCTAGGGGAGGGATAACATCAGGAGAAAAACCTAATGTAGGTGACGGGTTGATGGGTGCAGCAAACCACCATGGCACATGTATACCTATGTAACAAACCTGCACATTCTGCACAGGTACCCTAGAACTTAAAGTATAATTAAAAAAAGCAAGAAAAAAAGAAAATACATATTTTAAAACACTATTTTTGAAATATTTTATTACATGTGTTCATAGTACTTCCTGATTATATGAAAAATGGAGATGGAAATCTTGCATTGTATCTGGGAATCTTAACCTTTCTAGATTCTAATAGATGAGATCATTGGCCAGGAACAGTGGCTCACGCCTGTAATCCCAGCACTTTGGGAGGCCAAGGCAGGCGGATCACGAGGTCAGCATCCTGGCTAACACAGTGAAACCCCGTCACTACTAAAAACACAAAAAAAATTAGCCGGGCGTGGTGTTGGGCGCCTGTAGTCCCAGCTACGCGGGAGGCTGAGGCAGGAGAATGGTGTGAACCTGGGAGGCGGAGCTTGCAGTGAGCCGAGATTGCACCACTGCACTCCAGCCTGGGTGACAGTGCGAGCTTCCATCTCAAAAAAAAAAAAAAAAAAAAAAAAAAAAAAAAAAAAAGGAAAGAAAAAGATAAGATCATTGATGACTTGGTTTTGTATTTCTAATGTATTTGAATTTTTCTTCATTTGCTATATCTAAATGCTACTATTGATTCTCACAAATCAATAGATCTAGGACCTCTGTTCAACTCATAGGATAATTCTCAAACATCACACTACTCCAGGGAACCCCGGTTATTAAGAGGGATACTGAATTTTTGTGGTGTATTTGAAGGAATCAACTATCAGTGACCCTACAAATGTCTATTGCCAGAATCTACAGCAATAGAAAATTACTCACACCCAGGTAATAATCAAAATCAATGACAATTTTTGTCCACTCACCTTTAATGAAGAATCAAATTGTCTTCTCTCAAATTACTTGTACTTTACCTTTGGATAGGAAGAATTTATGGGCTTTCTCTTCTTTTTGGCATGTTCCTTAAGGAAGTAGTATATAATTCATTCAGATCATTATGCCCAAATCATCTGAGACACTTTAAAAAGCTGCCTTCATATGCATGCTAATTATCTAGCCCATCATACGTTTTCCCAGTGAGAATATATAAGGAACAATTCAAGAAAACAACATAAATGCTCTGAACAGATCCATGGGGACCTATGCGATGTAAAAGTACTCACTCAATTACACTGAGTCAGCAATTAAAGTAACAATGAAAATACTTCATCACGCTGCCATCAGCTTCAGCCTAGTAAAACTGGAATAGTTCCAAAGTCATGATGAAATTGTGACATATTATCATAAAAGATTCATTATTTGAATTTATTATTTATCTAAAAGTACATCATAGGCACTGAGTTAAAGATATATCTTTTAACCCTTACATGTGAGTTAGATAATACTATTCCTATGTTCAGAACACACCAATCTCAGACAAACTATGTAATTTTCCAGAAGTCACATACTTGATAACTAGAATATTTGAAATTAGAACCTAATCTCTAAATAAGTGACATATATACTTAGTCCTTTCATATGGCAAGCCCATGCTAACAACTGTCCTATTTTCTGAGATAACACCACTGTTGGATAAAGTTTAGTACAACCTTATCAAGAGTAAGATCTACTGAAGATAGTACACACCATCTCCCATGGTGTGAAAGTTGCAAATGTAAGATATATTAACCATGATCAATTAAGCCCTCTTTCTCTTTTCATTCCAACTTCTAGAACATCACATTGCAACTAATATCAGAGTGCCTTGACATTTCTGCAAGCATCTTAAGATCTAGCTAAAGAAGGATTGAGTTAATAATATTTTATTTGATGTTCAGTGGATATGTTTGTGTCATTCAAAGACCATGATATTTATCACTGAATAATGCTATCTATTCTGATTTAAGAATGTCTTCTGGCCAGGCACGGTGGCTTATGCCTGTAATCCCAACACTTTGGGAGGCCAAGGCGGGTGGATCATGCGGTCAGGAGATCAAGACCATCCTGGCCAATATAGTGAAACCCTGTCTCTACTAAAATACAAAAAATTAGCCAGGCATGGTGGTGGATGCCTGTAGTCCCAGCTACTTGGGAAGCTGAGGCAGGAGAATCTCTTGAACCTGGGAGGCGGTGGCTGTGGTGAGCCGAGATCGCACCACTGCACTCTAGCCTGGTGACAGAGCAAGACTCCCTCTCAAACAAACAAACAAAGAGAATATCTTCTAAGGATACTTTGTTATGGAACATGGTGCACAGTCTATGACCCATCTTTCTACAGTGCATATATAGATGAAATCATCACATCACATTGTACTCCATAAATATATAGAGTTATTGTCAATTAAAATAAATATATACATTGAGAAACATATAGCAAAATATGAATCTAAATTGCACACTTTGATTAGTCTTAAACATGTATTTTGCTTATGTCTTTATTCAACAACAAAGAAAGTTTCCTTATGCTTTATATCCTCATAGGCCACTTGCATTAAAATACAAATCTCCATAAGGAGATTTTCCTCATACCCTAATCCCAAACAACATCCCCCCATCCTTGGGTAACTGAATCCTATCCCTGGATTTATTTTGTCTTTTTCTGTTTTTTAATTTCAAATACAAAGAATCACACCATATATACTCCTTATCTGGCTTCCTTCACTCAATATATTGTTTTTGAAATTCATTTATATTGTGCATTTTTGCTGCATATTTCATTGATTATGTATCACTGCTAAAGCTGTCATGTTCTGACACCTCCATGAATGAGTTGTTGCTGTTAACCTTCTCTGGAGTCATTGCCACGGCCACCTTCTTGATTGTGATCATTTCCTACATCTTCATTGCTTTTGCTATCCTAAGGATCTGCTCAGCATCAGGCAGACAGAAAGCCTTCTCCACCTGTGCCTCTAACCTAACTGCTATGGCCATATTCTACGGTACCTTAAGCTTTAGCTACATTCAGCCAAGCTCCCAGTATTCTGTGGAACAGGAGAAAGTAGTTTCTGTGTTCTATACACTAGTGATTCCCATGTTAAACCCATTGATATACAGTCTGAGAAACAAGGATGTAAAGCAGGCAGTGAAAAGAGCTATAGACATAAAACATTTCTCATGTTAATTTCAAGTCACTGTCAGTGCTACACTATTCTACCAGAATTCATATAAATTCAATAAATTCTAGAGTGTCTGTGTTTTCATAAATCATTGTAAACTAAACTTTTATAATTCACATGAGAAAACAAGACTGAAAAGTTGATGTGACTTGGTGAATTGACTTAATTTTAGGAAAAAAAAAAAAGCCTTAAAACTGAGCTTTCCTGAGATGTTAGGACCATGATATTTGAATGAACCAATCAATCCAAGAATTGCATATATATTGTCTAATGTTTGAAAAACTGAATATATTTGTGTGTATAGACTTTTAGAAATATAAAAACTTTTTTCTAAGAATTTAAATAATTAATGTACTCAAAAGATTAAGATAATTCTGTGCTTGATATTTGCTTGTATCTTTAGAAAATCTCCATATTAACTAAATAGACAGATATGATTCCAATTAAAATTTTCTAATTTTCAGGTATTTACCTAAATTTTTCTTCTTAGACACTCATGACCTAGCAACAGAAGATGGGTTGTATATAACCTTATTATAATTCTCAGTTTGTAATAATAAACTGTTCCTAAAGTATCCAGCTAGATGTATGTATGAAATAATTCCATTTTGGTGTAAGTCCAATTCTGCACCCTTCTCATCCATCTTTTCCTTTAAGAATCTCCCTTACGTTCTTTCAAGATTAAAAAAATCAGCAATCGTCAAATCACATGATAGATGTTAATGTTTGCCTATAGGTTCAATTCTGTAATGATGCATTAGTTGATTGTATTACTTCACAAATTTCCATCGTTTTATGAATGCTATCTGTTACCAAAAAGTTCTGTGAATAATATTGGATCAATTTTGCAAATTCAAATGTAGTACATCCTGTTTTTTGCATTCTGGAGCCTGCATTAACTACTGAGATCATAGAACACAACCTCAGGTATTTACAACTAAAGTTAAGTTTTTTTGAATATTTGAGCAATTTTATATTTACTGCTTCTTACTTAGCAAACCAGATGTCACTGTGCTAGCAAGAATGACATTTTGAAAAGCATAAGCAATTTTTATCTTTTTTATAAACAACAACAAAACTATTGTAAGAGTACTTTTTTGTATACATTTTGAAAAATATGGGGCATGGAAACAGATTGATTTAGAGTAAATGTGATGTTTATTCATGTATAATGTAAGTCACATTCTCTAAAATGCACTTTCAAATGGAATCATAATCTTCATTGTAATGCTTATAATAGTAGTTCATACCAATATGTTTCATGTAAGTAGAACTTTCATTTATATGGCAAGCATTATATTTATGCATATATTTTCACACTTATTCATATACAGAGAAGTGAATTTTTAAAAAGATGGTTGATAAAAGTAAATCAACTTGCCCCATCTCTCCTTAGGTAACCATTATTATATTTCTGATTCTACCACTTAGTAGGCTAGAGTTTTTCCTACATATATTCTGATGGAGTTTATACACATAAAAGTTAAAAACAGCCCCGGACATTCTAATGCATGTTATTATCTGTGGAAGCTTATATTTTTCTGTGTTCCATACAAATACTTATTTAATAATAAAACAATGCTCATGAGCCTGGCTATGTTTAAGCAATGAGTAGTGTGATGCAGAAATGTTATATCACACAAATAAATTTGCAAATAATCATTTTTAACACACCCACATCACACTATTAAACACAAATTTTATATTTTTCATAGGATTTGAAAACACTGGAAATACAGGTTTAGAAGATGAAGATTTAGGAAAATAAGTAAGAATTTCATTTGGCAGGTAAAATTTACCTGGCTCTGAGAATTGTTGAAACTTAATGAAAGAGTGTGTATTTTTTTTTTTTTTAACAATAAGAGTCACAGTGACATTCAAAGAAATCGTGGGTATAAATAGATGATTATTATCAAGGAGGTAGCTCTGTGCTCTTTCTTTTATTGATATTTAGGACTTGAAGTATTATTAATATAGCCATTTGTTGTTTGTAAGAGCTATAAATTCTTGATGTGGGATCTGCATTGGTTGCATATATTGCAAACATATTCTATTTCATGGTTTGTTTTATCTTTTTACTATTTATTTCCTCCTTTGACAACATTTTGTAATTTCAGCACTGTTGATTTGTTTATTTTTTAAAAAATTTTGGTTATTTCTACCCTTATTCTAATAAGACATGTATTATCATCAAAAAAGGTTATATACTTTCTCTTACTTGCCTATATGGACACTCAAATATATAAATGTCATTTATTGGAAAGACACACTGTTCATTGTCTTTATCAATTTTTTAGAAATTGGGAATTCATGTATATGTAAATTAAAGATACTGAGTCAATGCTATCTCTGCTACCTCATTGATCTATTTTTTTATTCCTGTGCCAATATTTAATTGTATTAAATACTCTACCTAATATACCTAGAAATCTAGAGAGGCTACTACTTCTCCCCTATTATTCTTTTTTTCAGAAGGATTTAGCTATTTTTTCTCCCTTGTATTTTCATCTAAATTTCACACTCAGTGCAGTAAATCTTAGTGGAAGATTTCCTTTTTTTTTTTTAATTTGAACTTTATTTTAGATACAAGGGGTACATGTTCAGTCTTGTTACATGAGAATGTAGTACCCAGGTACAGAGCATAGTACCTAATAGATAGTGTTTCAATCCACACGTGCCTCCCTTCCTCCCCACTCTAGTAGTCTGCAGTGTTTATTGTTCCCATGTTTATGTCTATGTTTGCTCAAAGTTTAGTCTCCACTTATCAGTTAGAAAGTGGTATTTGGTTTTCTGTTCCTGCATAATTTGCTTATGGTAATGGCCTTCAGATGCAACCATGTTGCTGCAAAGGAAATGATTTAATTCTTTTTTATGGCTGTGGTGTATATACACCACATTTTCTTTATCCAATCCACTATTGATAAACACCTAGGTTGATTCCATGTCTTTGCTATTGTGAATAGCATGCTGATGAACATATGAGTGCATGTGTCATTTTGGCAAAGTGGTCTGTTTTCTTTTGGGTATATACTCAGTTACGGGATTGCTGAATCAAATTGTAGCTCTGCTTTAAGTTCTTTGAAAAAAGCTGCATAGCTACAATTATCTGATCTTTGACAAGACCAACAAAAACAAGCAATGAGGAAAAGACTCCCTATTCAGTAAATGGTGCTGGGATAACTGGGTAGCCCTATGCAGAAGAATGAAACTGGACCCCCACTTTTCACCACATACAAAAATTAACTCAAGATAAATTAAAGACTTAAATGTAAGACCAAAAAACTATAAAAATACTAGAAGAAAACTTATGAAATACCCTTCTTGATATTGGTGTTGGCAAATAGTTTACGGTTAAATCCTCAAACGCAATTGCAGCAAAAGCAAAAATTGACAAGTGAGACCTAATTAAAACAAGGAGCTTTTGTCCAGCAAAATAAACTCTTAACAGTATAAACAAACAACCTACAGAATGGGAGAAAATATTTGCAAACTATTCATCTGACAAAATTCTAATATCCAGAATCTATAAGGAACTTAAACAAATCGACAAGCAAAAAGCAAATAATTCCATTTAAAAAATGGGCAAAGAATATGAACAGACACTTACCAAAGGAAGACACATACAGGCAGTCAATAAAAATATGAAAAAAATGCTCATCATCACTTATCATCAGAGAAATGCATCAAAACTCCAATGAGATATCATCTCACACCAGCCAGGATGGATATGCTTAAAAAGTGAAAAAACAACAGATACTGTTCAGGCTGCAGAGAAAAGGGAATGCTTAAGCACTGTTGATGGGAATGAATTAGTTCAGCCACTGTGGAAGTTTTCCCTTTCTAATACACTGGAGTGACTGAAACAGATTTCTCTCTTCATTTGACAGATTTCATCTCATTATGTAACTCTACATAACAGCACCAGAAATGTTTCACATGAAGAATCTGCCATATATTTGAGATTTCTGAAATTTCAAATTTGTCATTCTAGCACTGATCACCAAAGCTTTGCAGGTTTTTTCCCCTCCATGACAGACTCCCTACTTGGGCAAGCTTGATCCAGCAGCCTATTTCAGAATAGGTAAACAGTCCAGTGAATGAAAGATTGAAAATTCTCTATTATTTTCTAAAAGTTCTTTTAGTTTATGTAAAAATCATTGTTTTTACAGCTCACTGATGCTTCATGATATAATTTTTAAAAATCACACAGCTTTTTGTAGTCATTGATTGGACTGTTGCCCCACAGTAACGTGTTTACCTAAATGAATGCAGAAAACTAATTTAAAATATAGCTTTTAATTCCCCATTAAAATTCTTCCTTTTGTCTTGATTTTTTAAAAAAATATTATCTATGTTTTTTATTTTTGCAATCAATATTATTTATGTTTATTTTTAAGTTCAGGCATAAAAATTCTACAACACAGATTTTTGTTCATCCATTTTTAAAATCTTTTTTTATTTTCAGTCAAGATAAGTACTATCTCCTCTTACACTGGTTATTTATTATTACACCCTCCCTTTTAATTCTTCTTTTTTCTCAGTTTCACTTTTCTTTGGAAAACCATGAATCTTTTACCATAATTTAGCCACATACATGATATCTAAACTAGTAAATAAGTGACTGCTTCTCAAATATTTTCCAGCCCCCTCCAAAAGAGAGGTTACACGATGTGCCAAAACTTTAAATCGACTGTGTCTTTCTGATTGTCAAACCAGCAATCTTAGGTTACGTGTAAACTATATTATCCCTACATCTTCAGATGGAGCCTTCCATTTCTTAGTGAATAGGGCAGTTTTCTTCCCTCAGAGTAAATTTGTTAAAATCTTGCCTTTTACTCATCACAAGTTAGTTGTCACATCTTTCAGAATGGTCAGGTCATAGAAGTTTGCAGCCACTTGCAGATCAGAATCACCCCAAGATATCTCTCCAATTTAGTTGTATCTAGAATTAGTAATATTACGCACTCACATTTTAATTGGAGAATGCATGCTGGCATAGGGTTATCATTCTTCTGCTAATATTTCTCTGTGAATTATTTCAGCTTGATATCAATATAACCTTAGGAGTCCATGGTTTCCTAGCTGTGATTCTGGCTACATTTATAGGCTTCCAGGCGACCAATGATGGGTGGCCTTGCCTATGAATGTAATAGCTTCTACCCACATGGTCAGGGGATATGGGAAATTTAGTTTTTCTAAATCTTATGTCTCCTTTCTTTTCTTCTTTTATAAATTTTATTTTTAAAAATTGTGCTAGCAATATCAAGAGGGCAGTATTTTTTGCTAGCTTTCCCACTGCATGGCTTTTTCTTTTTTTTGTCTATCTACTTAGCCAATTTCACTAGATCATAGGTTTAGGTTTTCTTAGTTTTTACACTAGGTCAGTTATATAGTATATTGGTTATAGAAACTAATTGTCATTTCTCACCTACTTGGAAAACATAAGTTCATAAATTCCAAAATTATTTACAAAAAGCAAAACATTTTGTAAAGAAGAATTTCCTGGATATTGTCCTACTGGTAACATACCAAAGTATTTTTACAAGAAAATTTGCTAGAGTCAATATTTTTAATGCATCCCTGAAAAGGAAGGGAAAGAGTTACAGATCCCACTAATTTGTACAGATGCATGAAAATTTACAATTGTAATACTTAACTACTTACTTGAAACTTTAATTTTTATACATTGACTATCATGATCTCAACATTGTTGGTTAAAATCTCTGATATTAATATGGGTATGGTATTTTCTTTTATGCAATATTACTTAGTACAATTTTTTCACTCTTTATTTCTCAATTGTCACAAAATTTTAGTTTTTATATTTATTCATGGTTATTTTATAAGATGTATATGATGATTCAAATACCTGAAATTGTCATTGAACTAAATTCATATTTTTTTCTTCAGATTGGCAAGGGCTTACACAGACAAGAATATTTTTTTCTACAAAAATCTGGGAATGCTGTGGTCGTCATAGTAACTAGTTAATTGGAGATAATCTCCTTTGAAAATCATAGAAGTTTGCTTCTGTAGAATAGCAGGTGCTCTACTTGTGTTTATATTGGAGTCTCCAGTTTAACATTGTCAGACATATCTTCCATTCCAATACTGATTTTGTTTATGCTGCCATGGATCAAAAATCATATGTCCCTGTTCAGCTGAAAATGTGTTACGCTTGCTTTCTTCTGTTTATTTTGTTGGTTTTTGATGGTCTTCCTTCCTCATTCAATTCTGCAATACTGTGAAATCTACAGATTTTCTCTGACTAGACTTTCTCAGAGTGTTTATTCACTCATTGCTTAGAACATAACTAGTTCAATCAGCCTGTAATCCTGCTCTTTTTGGAGGAAGTATTATACTCTTTGCTTTTTTCTTTCCTTGACCTTTTGACAATATTTTTTTTCTGAACATTTTAAATAGATTTATTGTGTTAATTTGAAGACGTGCTTTCTTGTGTTGCAATTAGATGGTGAGTTTACATTTAACAGAATCTTCTCTGTGATAATCTTGGAAGGCTGTGTTGAAAAGGCATCCATTCATAGATTTCAATTTGCTTTTGTTAGATGTCCCACAATGTTTCCAGTGTAGACCACTGTGCATTATTTCTCATCTTGAGGTTGCTTCAGTTGTGCAGGAAGCAAAATCCAAAGTTCATTCCGTGTGAGGAAGGGCTGTGGTTGCTGATTTACAGGTAAGGTGTTTTCCTTACAACGTGCCAGAGCATGATGGCCAGGTTTATTTAAAATTTTTGCTGATAAGCAGATTTACCTAGCATTTACAATGATAATTCCAATGTTTCAAAAGTATTGGATTTATATTTGGGTTTCAATGGAATTTTGTGTTGTTTATGGACCCACAGGCTTAGCATCTATTTTGAACAAATTGAACCTCACTTAAAAAGGTTTGAAAATACTCCCAGGAGCATCATAGTGTAAACTTCATTTTTTTCTCCTGGTTTTCTGTTTTTTTTTCTTCCTCTGTGCACAAAAACAATTCCAATTATTTTTATGAATAAATCTACAAATGTCACAGCATCTTTTACTTTTATAGTTTGTATTTCAATGTACTCTTTAAAAAATATTTTTTGAGGGGAGTGCAGTTATATCTATAGGTTGGTGCAAAAGTAATCGGGGTTTTTGCTAATAGTTGTTTTTTTTCTCTTTCCTTTTTTTTTTTTTTTTTTTTTAATTCTTGCTCTGTCACCCAGGTTGGAGTGCAGTGGGGCGATCTCGGCCCACTGAAACCTCTGCCTCCCGGGTTCAAGCAATTCTCCTACCTCAGCCTCCCGAGTAACTGGGATTACAGGCGCCCAACACCACGCCCGGCTAATTTTTGTATTTTTAGTTGAGACGGGGTTTCACCATGTTGACCAGGGTGGTCTGGAACTCCTGGCCTCAAGTGATCGGCGCGTCTTGGCCTCCCAGAAGGCTGGGATTACAGGCGTGAGCCACCGCTCCTGGCCTTCTTTTGCTATCACTTTTAATGTGAAAAACTGAATCGCAGTTTTTAATTGCCGCTAAAAGTAATGGCAAAAACCACCATCTTCTTTTATTTTTTTTTTTTTGATGGAGTTTCACTCCTGTCGCCCCAGGCTGGAGTGCAATGGCGCGATCTCGGCTCACTGCAACTTCCGCCTCCCGGGTTCAAGCGAGTCTCCTACCTCCATCACTTTTGCACCAACCTAATAGCCTCCACTTGCTGGAAGAGGAAGTCTAACTATGTTTCCTTCCTTGTTTGTTATTGATAATCCATATTTTTCTAGTGCCTTACACAACGTATAGCTTGTCTTTGTCCCCCAGAAATATTTGTTAAAGAAATGAGACTATTGAAGCTAAATATCACATTCGATAGGAGTGATAAGTGGCCGTTCTATCTGCTATATGGAAGGCAGATTTAGACTCTCAACAGGAATATGTGGAGGTAGGAGGTGGGATGCTGCATCCTAAAAGTTTTTTAATAGGCTGGCTATTATCAAATTGGATTTCCTTATGCATTTTTGCCTTACACAGGGTAGTTGTAGTAATAGTTAATCTTAATAAAATGCTATGCAATTTAAGCACATTATTTAAAGTGTGACTATTTCTACTATTTTCTCATCCATGGCTTTAAGCCTTCTTTCACTTTTTGAACCTTTCTTTTTGTAATATTGCAAACCTCAGAGAATACCATTCCCATCGAGATATCTTGAGAAAGTCTCCTGAGAAAACAGGATGCAAAACAATGTGTAATTTTCTTGTTGTTGCTATGTTACTTTACATAGACTCTGAACTACAGGGACTCTGGCCTCATTTGATCACACGAAAATGCATATATACATTTATATATATGTATAGACTTCCACCTTCTTATAATTTGTTCTCATAAACAATTAAAGATGTATAATCATCGTTTCTTTGTTTCCATTATGTTCGTTCTATATTGAAACCTAGGTTTTATATGAATTATTTTTACTGAATGATCTTAAGTTAACTACCATTATAATATTGATCATTCCAAATCTCAGAAAAATGTATTAACTGATTGCATTTTTAAGTGAACAGTAAGAAAACGGAGATGGACATGAGCATTTTAAGCAAGCCCATCCCTTAAAAATTTTTCCGTCTTTGGTAAGTTTTATTCATTCATTTGAATATTTATTTTTTCATATTTAGCATTCATTCTGCAGGTAATTGAAATTTTCAGTTAGATAAAATCCTTAAGGTTTTGAATCTTAAATTTTCTGTAAGTTAACACTGTGCCTTATTATGTGATTCCATTTACAATATTTCCACCTAATTTTGCTGAAAGTTGTACACTTATACATTTTGATAGTTAATTTAATTTCTAATTTCTTCAAACATACTATTTTCTAAATTATACTTATAATTCATATCTATAAGTATTCCTCTTTTATTGAGAAAACTATCCAGCTGATATTCTAAGAGTGGTAGAAAAAAGAGCATATATGTTGTATAAAAATGCAGTTTTTAAATACTTAGGATTATTGTTTACAGTACTTATCCATATTGTCATATCTGTTGGAAATTACTAAAGATCATTTAGAAAATCATTAAAAAATATGCATTTTCACGTTATATTTAACAATGCTAGTTAGTGAATAACTTGAGATAAACATTTACTAAAATAAATAAATAAAAATAGTGCTTAAACATTGCAGAAATGCTGCATCAAAGAAATCAATTAGAAAGTTTTTAAAGCTTTACCTGATCACTGTGAATCAAAATATATTACACTAAGTGTCTATCACTGTTCTATCTATCTATCTGGTTATGCTTCATATACTTACGTAACTATCTAATTTGTTAATTGTTAAAGAAACAAAAATACTTCATTGTAATAAAGTATTTTTCAATACACTCCTTCAATACACTCAGGGATTCTAGAGAAGTAATTATAATTATATCTTGGATGAAATAAGTTAACTTGTCCAATTAAATAAAGCCAGTTATTGTCAACTATGTATTTTCACTTTTCACCATTGTTGTCTTTGAAATATTTTAATTAAAATTAATAAGGGGTATAAATTACACATAGACTGAATCAATATTTGTTTCTCATCATTTCTAAAACTACAATCCATTTAATAGGAAATAAGAGTGGGAGATAGTTGATTATGAAACAGGTGAATAGCTTTGAATAGGAGGTGCAGGTGTGTATTGTTCCAATTGAAATTACATTTTTAGAAAGTCTTAAATTGTCTAAACTACCTTTTATAGGATGAATAAGAGGAAGAAGTATCACAGAATATTTGGTGAGTATATATATTCATGTTCTAAATTATTGAGTTTGTTTTATTGCCTAAAATTATTTGAAGTCTCAGAAAAAAAAAAAAAAAAAAAAAACAGGAAGGCTCCATTTCATGCAATATGTGGGATTCTAGGTCCTCAATCTCAGAGTAAATGATTAGGGCTACTCTCCCACCATGATTGCAGGGAGGATTACCTAGAGTTAAGAATCCCCACTTCTTTTAGTAGGTGTCATTCAAGAGACAGGGTGTTATTTCATGAGTTTCAGAGTTTGGTGTTGCCACACCATGCCACCCATAGTCACAGAGGCCAGTCTCTGGCTCCCTGGCATTTTCCAATGTCATCACTGTGGGTCCCTGATCCACCTTACTTCATTATTGTGGCCACTTTGCTGTCTATAATAATGCAACTGTAGATTAATTCCCTCTATAAATAGAAAATACAGGCAATTTTAGAAAGTTTTCTTATTTACTCAAAAACAAACCAAAAAATTACCAGAAAGGAGTTTCATTGAATGGTAATTTAATATTCTAACAATATGTATTTTACATACTGTTCATTTAAATTATCACTAGTGTTTTATCAGTTTTGGTGGCACTTTGTTATGGAGCTAGACATTTCAGAGACAGATGCTGTGAGAAAAAATCATTTTTACACATCGATTTCTATGAGGTATAAGCACATAAAGTGTCACTGGAAAAAATATTAGAGACTGTCTAGCCTACTTGCTAAATTTATTGATGAAAATCCTCAGAATTCAAGAAAGAAGATTATTTACCTGAAGAACAACATCAGTAGTTGTCTGTATTTTATCCTTGTGCATGTGTATGTGTATAAAATATGTATCAATTTAAATACTTTATATATGTAATATATATGTATTTTCCCCCTGACAAATTATGAGTCTATCTTTTTTTCACAGTAGATTTTGTGAAAAAGAAAGAAACATATGGCTGATGATAATTTTACAGTTGTCACTGAGTTTATTCTTTTGGGATTGACAGATCATGCTGAACTAAAAGCTGTGCTTTTTGTGGTGTTCCTGGTGATTTACGCCATTACCTTGTTGAGGAATCTGGGCATGATCCTCTTAATCCAAATCACCTCCAAACTCCACACACCCATGTACTTTTTACTCAGCTGTCTTTCATTTGTGGATGCCTGCTATTCATCTGCAATTGCACCCAAAATGCTGGTGAACCTCCTGGTTGTGAAGGCAACAATTTCTTTCTCTGCTTGCATGGTACAGCATTTGTGTTTCGGAGTGTTCATCACCACAGAAGGCTTCTTACTGTCAGTGATGGCCTATGACCGCTATGTGGCCATTGTGAGTCCCTTGCTTTACACT
The DNA here is from genome assembly GCF_000001405.40 of Homo sapiens. Lineage (NCBI taxonomy): Eukaryota > Metazoa > Chordata > Mammalia > Primates > Hominidae > Homo > Homo sapiens. The sequence continues at coordinate 56,177,017 of NC_000011.10, forward strand.
GTAGCCATGTCTGATAGAAAGTGTGTGGAGCTTGTCACAGGATCATGGATAGGTGGAATAGTTAACACATTAATCCACACAATCAGCTTGAGGAGACTGTCCTTTTGTAGGCTAAATGCTGTCAGCCACTTCTTCTGTGACATTCCTTCACTGCTAAAGCTGTCATGTTCTGACACCTCCATGAATGAGTTGTTGCTGTTAACCTTCTCCGGAGTCATTGCCATGGCCACCTTCTTGACTGTGATCATTTCCTACATCTTCATTGCTTTTGCTAGCCTAAGGATCCACTCAGCATCAGGCAGACAGCAAGCCTTCTCCACCTGTGCCTCTCACCTGACTGCTGTGACCATATTCTATGGTACCTTAATCTTTAGCTACATTCAGCCAAGCTCCCAGTATTTTGTGGAACAAGAGAAAGTGGTTTCTATGTTCTATACGCTAGGGATTCCCATGTTAAACCTGTTGATACACAGTTTGAGAAACAAGGACGTAAAGGAGGCAGTGAAAAGGGCCATAGAAATGAAACATTTCCTCTGTTAATTTCAAGTCACTATTAATCCTACAACATTCTGTCATTCAGTTCTCACTTCCAAGAATTCCGTGAATGCCAAAGCTTCTCAAGACTTTACAGATATTCTCATTCTATATACTTTTGTTGCATTTCAGGAGGCAGCCAGAAGAGAAAACTTAATTCACATACCTGCAACACAAAAACAACAATCTATCACTTAGTTATGCTGATATTCTAGGTTATTCACGTAATAATCAATACATAGTACAGTATTACATCTGTTCTTTTCTGTTATTTGGGGTTACAAAATTATAATAATACTTGCACTTAAGGATATAAAAATAGGGTACTTTGTAGGAAAAAATAACTAGTCCTTGAATTTCCAAGAAAATAGATATAATTATACAACTGAAATGTGCCTTCATTGACTTATAATTTAAATATTTTAAACAGTGGCAGGCCCCTCATAGAAATAAACTGAAGAGATTATTTTCTCTCCAGCTCTTTCAAAAACATGTTTTTGTTAATCTCCTTCTCTATGATTTAAACTCTGAAGAGAGAGGGTAGCTATCCCTATGATTACTTCTGAGATTATAGCAAAAGCCTCATAAAATTTTAGCTTAAGATTTAAAAATTTTAATTGCATGAATAGAATAATATAGTCATTTTGAAGTATTTAAAATTAAAAACACATTTTATCTCTCTTTTTTGAATATTTTTTCTATCATTAAAGATCTAAAATAAAAAACTGCAAATAAGATAGTTAAAATTCCACAAATTTATCGTTTACAGAAATTTCATGGAATATATTAAATACTTAAAATCAGACTATGTAAGTTAAAACCTGTTCATTGACTCACTTCTGTAATTATCCATTCTAAGATTTGATAGTTTTCTTCCATTATGTAATGTTAACTTTTGCCATTAGCAAAAATTTGAGGAAATATTTGCATTAATATTAAATTAATTTGAATTAAGTGTATTTTTCTGTATTTTTGAACTCTACTATCATGATCAGAGGAAAGAATCTTGATACTTAAAGTTCATGAGACAGTTGAAGAAATAGCCAAGTAAATGTGTAGTTCCAGCTTTATAGTTGGCAAGTCAGACATATACAATTTGCTAATGAAAATTCATAAACAGAAAAAAATAGTTTTTTGAACTTATTCCTATATTGGAAAATCCAATTATAAAAGTGATTGTGCAAATAAATTTTAAAATGCTTATGAAATGAATATTGTTCACATTTAAGTATACGTGACAGTCATTCATGAGGGATATGGAGTTAATGCCACAAAATTACTTCTAACAGCAATAGTGATAACCATCATCACTATAATATTATTAATAAAACAATGACAATAAGCACACAGAATAAATAACTTCAGACTATGATATTGACAATTAAATATCATTGTGCACTGAAAGCCTCCCTATAATCCTGCTGTTAGTATGAAAAAAAGTATATATATATATAAAAGTATATATATATATAAAAGTATATATATATATATAAAAGTATATATATATATAAAAGTATATATATATATAAAAGTGTATATATATATACACACACACACACACACATATATATATATATACACACATATATATGGAATTAGACACTCAGGCAATAAACATCAATTAGCCCACTCTCTTTAGAAGTTTTTGATTTCTATTTTTGTGACTATTTTATCTTTGCTAATTATTGTATTTTGAATCATCAGCTCCCACTTTGCCTAATTCTGTGTTATTCATAAATAAGAAGAAACCCAAAGTTAATATGTGAGTTCCCTCCCTAGCTTCTTTTTTTCCTTTTTCTTCTTTTTCGAAATTATTTGAGATATTCTAGTTTCTTTGCCTTTCCATTTATATTTCAGAATTATCTTTTATGTTTCTCCTGATTTATTTTACCCCAGTTTAGCAGTTTTCAACATGAAGATACAGTACACTTTTTATTAGATTTATATCTAAATACTTCACATTTTTGTTTTATTTTAATACATTTTATTTTTCTTTAAACTTCCAATGTTTATTGCTTATATACAGAAATACAATGGAATTTAGTAAATTGCTCTTACATACTGTTACATTTCTGTACATAATATTTCTAGTTACTTTTGCAGATTCTTTTTCTGCATAAACAGTCCTATCATTTGCAAATAGAAACAACTCTACTTGTTTGTTTCAGATCTGGTTTTATAAATTTGTTTTTCTTACCTTATTGCATAGGCTGGGATCTCCATTATAGTATAAAATAGGTGTGGCAAGGACAAACAACGTTGCCTTTTTTCAGCTATTAGGAGGAATATGTCATTTCATGGTTAAATATGATGTTTACTGTAGGTTTTAGTATAGATATCCTTTATCTCTTCCTCAGCAAGTTCATTTCATTTTCCAGATTGCTGAGAATTCACTTGTATTTTATGCTATAAATTGATATTGCATCTCATCAAATAATGTTTCTGCATTGAGAAATTCAGGTATGCATTTTATTCTGTTGATATGAGCAATTACATTGATTTTTTTCAACTTTTATTTTATAATCAAGGGATATTTATTTAGGTTTGTTAGAAAACTATATTGATGATACTGAGGTTTAGAGTACAATTGAACTCATCACCCATGTAGTGAGTATAATACCCATTAGGTAGTTTTTCAGCCCTTGCTTCCGTTTCTCTCCCCACTCTAGTATTTTTCATATGTTTCTTGGTCAGTTATATGTCTTCCTTTGAAACGTATATGTTCATGTCCTCAAAGGCTGACGTATCACATTACCTGACTTCAGACTACAGACTGGAAGCTGAAGAAGCCAAACACCCAGAAATGCCAACAGGTGATCTCTCTGTCACACATACACAGCCCCCTGAATAAAAAGCAGCAAAAGGATTCAGTTCTCTCAAGATAAGGGGCCAGGAAAAGGGACACTTAGAAAGACAGTATTTTTAAACAATAGTGTATCTACTACAACTAAACATCATGGAAAAGCAAAACAAAACAACAGAAACGGTGGCCTTCATCCTCAACCACACAAGCAAAAGCCAAGGAGGGAGCTTAGACTTCCATCCTCACAAGGCTGGAATGACAGTTCCTAAAGCCCCTTCAGAATAATGTGAGAAAAGGCCACGCAGGGAGACAGGAGTTTCATATCTGCTTTCTGGTAATGATCCCTGCTTCCTAGACCCATAGTGTCAATGGAGACCAGAAATGAAGCCTGGAAGTCTACTTGGAGGCAGTAATGAGGCACCCTTCCCCTCTCTGTTAGAGTGGTATCAAATGAGGGCATTGCTCTGTGGCAATGAGACAATCCCCACTGCAGTGTTAGTAGAGACCATGTGAGATATTGGAAGCTCAGGTCTGTCCAGCTGTATGTGGGCTACCTCCCCCAATATCAATGAAGATCAGATGGAGAATCTTGTCTTCTACTTTCACCTGGTAGTAATGAGGCCGTTTCCACCTTCGTGTGTCAGATTGTTCTCAGAGAGACAGTTAAAACAGAATAAAATAATAAAATCTGGTGCCTCATAACATAGTACAAAAATGTCCAGGTTTCTGGTAAGTGAAAGAATTCAGACACATAGGTCCAGCATTTTACAATTACATTTATTTTAAAATGTCCATAATAAAATAATTCATAGAGACAGAATTGGTGGTTTCCTAGGTATGTGATGGGGCTTGTTGAGGGGAAGTTAGGACTAACTGGTAATGAGCATGAAGTTTCATTCTGGTTTATTGATATTGATCTAAAATTGATTGTTCTGATGGTTTCAAAGTGCGAAATATTAAAACCATTGACTTGTGCACTTTAAATGAGCAAATTATATGGCTTATAATTACATCTCAATAAAGGGATAAAATAAAATTAGCAACATAAAAATAATCAATTTATCTATTATTAGGTATGAAATCAAGAGATTATGTATAATCCACTCAGCAAGAGGCAGAATGCATTTTTTGTTCAATATGTAATAAATTTATTCATGGCTAGAAAATATCTAGAAATTAAATAACTTAAAAAATAAAACCTTGAAAGAATCTCTGTATGTTATTATTTGTAGGCAGATTACTTTGAAAATAAGTCCCTTGAATATATGTCAGCTGTGATGGATAAAGAGTAATTCCATGAAAAGGTGACCTTCTAAGTGCCAATATTTTCTGTGGCAGAAGAACAACAATATACATTTTGTCTACTCTGGGACTGGTTGATTTATATTGATGAGTGGTAATCTGATATTTTGAGCCACAAATTATATAAATAGATGGATAGATTGGTTTTTATATTTTGCTATTATTTTATGTATTATGTCATGTTTATTTGTTAGAATTTAAAAATAGCATACCAAATGTTTTAATTCTTATCATTAAGGCTCTTATAAAAATAACACTAACTTTAAATGCAGTGTAAACTTCTGCTCAAATATAACACAGTGGGGAATGAGAGAAATACTACATACCCTTGTGAGGGGTTTTCTTTTCCTTGCTCTAAAGTGTACCACTCACATGTACTGGAAATTTGCATGTAGCTCTTCCTGTTTCTTGATTTTTGAAAACTCCCTCCCTCGTAGGATTCCAGTGGTTTACTCTTTGCCCAGGGAATCTAAGGATTTGTCAATTTGTCATTCCACCCACCCTTTCTACTCTGGTGGTACTTTTCTATAATTAAAAAAAATCATATGCAGATACAATTGAACAATTGGGAATATAAAGACTGTGGCAAATCATTAAGTATTTTAATGAATCACAAATCATTTCTTATTCTAAAGATAATAAAACTTAATTTTCATACCCAACTCCTCAATTAATTCTTTATTGTTTACACGAACTCTTTCAATGAGAAACTACATAGATTGATTAGTAACACTATTTTCTTGAGGTTGATAAATATTTCTGAGTTGCATATTTTTCCTCTTGATCTGTCTAATCACTGTGGTGAGTAACTTTTGTATGTTTACATTAATCATAACAAAATCCAATATACTGTACATCTGTGAGGAAGGAGGTGTTCTTCCCGTCTTATTCTATGCATATGTCACACCTTAGAATAAAACGGTGCCCATCCTTCAAAATTGCATGGAGTGTTTCTACTATTCTCCATTGTATCATTTAGAAATGCTTCTCCTATGCATTTAACAGATTGCTCAACAAATGATGGCTCAAGGCAGATGGTTTAAATTTTTTAAGTGACGTGAGGTTGGAGACTGATGACTGTCATTTTTTTTATTAGTTAAGTAGCTCAACAATTTCAGAGGCAGTATGTTTTTCATTGTCTTGTCCTTAAATTAACTTTCCGAAATTGATGAAACTCACATAAAATTGCTCAGGTCCACGAAGCAGAAGTTGATGTCAAATAAATACTTCCTCCACACACTTCTCTTTTTCATGGAAGGGACATCTGTTTTTTACATTATTCTGAGCTGACTTCCTCCTGCATTAGCAATAGTCAATTGTTTTTGTTTTAATTTCTAAATTCTGATCTTCCTAAATCATCTTTTTTCAAATGTGGATGAACTTCCTAGGACAGAAATCATTGATTAAAATTGATACACCTTTGTTTATTTCTTTTTCAGCCTGTTCTTGATTACTTAATGCTAATTATTGCTCCTATCCCCCCCAAAATTTATTACTAATCCACACAAATTATACTCTGCAACCATTTCATGATGGTTTCTATTTGACAAAGTCAAGCATTGATAATCCACTGATTAGCTTATATTTCTGTGTGTTGATGTAGTGATTGATTATTGAATTAATATTCTATGCTTGAAGTGGTTATGATCTTTATTCATTTATCATATTTAAATATTTCATTGTCAAGTAAAATTACATAAAATCAAGATGTACAATGTGATGATTTGCTATACATATATATTGTGTACTGATTACACAGTCAAATTAATTAACATATCCATCACCACTCTTAGTTTCCTCTTTTCTTTTTTGAGTGTTTATGTGTATGTAGCAAAGATACTTAAAATGTGCTTTCTTATCAAATTCAGGTAAACAATACAGTATTATTAATTATAGAAATCATAGAGCCCCAGAACATGTACATCTTATAACTGATCTCTCTGCTATTTCTCTTCTTTCAATCTGACACCTGCCAAAGTGGAGCTTTGCTCTATGTTGTCTCAGGATGACAGCAACAAAGGCAAAAATGACATTAAGGGACAATATAGGGTAGTTGTTGAGAGCATGAAATCTGGATTTGATTACCTGGCTTTGAAACCTATTTGTACTACCTAATACATTGGTGAATTCTGACAATTTATTTACCCTTTCTAAACCTTTATTTTTATCATCTGAAAAATGGAACTTTTAGTAAAACTTAGCTCACAGAACTATTGTGATGGCTAAATTAAGACATAGAGAATGCCATTTGTTGTTGGTGTTCTATTTTCCCTTTTTTCTGTTCTTTTTATTGTGGACTTAAAAACTTTCTTTGTTTATTAGAGTTGCTATAACAAATTACCATAAAATGGGTGGTTCCTAAACAATAGAAATTTACTTAATACAATTCTAGAGGCTGGGAAGTCCAAGATCAAGGTGCCAGTAGATTTGGTGTCTAGTAAGGTCTTCCTCTCTGGATCATAGATGGTGTCTTCTCCCTGTGTCTTCATATAGTGGAAGGAGGTAAGAAGTTCCCTGAGTCCTCTCTCACAAGGACACTAATCTCATTCATGAGAATCTACTCTCATGATCTCGTTTCTCCCAAAGGTCCTACCTTCTAATACCATCACCTTGGGGGTTAGGATTTCAACATATACATTTGGGAAGAATACAACATTCAGAACAACTCTTTTTGTTGTGGTGGTGGTGGTTGTTATTTTAGCGTTTGTTTTAGGGCATAGATATTTTACTTGTAATAGTTTACTTTCAAGTGTAATTATATCCCTTCACATATAAAATAAGAACTTTACAGTATTTAACCACTCCTGCCATCTCCTTTATAACAGCTTTGTTGTATATTTTTATTACTCTTAAACAAATAATTATCTTTCACATAGATTTAAATTATTGAAATCACTATGTAGTCACTTCTGGTGCTGTTCATTCTTTTGTCTAGAATCACATTTCAATCTGGTATTTTTTTCCCTTCTGATTGATGGGCTTCATTTATCATTTCTTTTAGTGCAAGTTTAATCATGAAGGGTTCTTTCAGTGTTGATATGTCTGAAATAACTTTATTTCACATTCCTTTTCAAAATATGTATTCCCTGGGTAAAGAATCCTAGGTGACAGTTATTCTGTTTCAGTGTTTTGATGCTGTTGCTCTGCTGTATCTTGACTTGCAATGTTTTTGAGGAGAAGCTAAATGAACAATGATGTTACATGAAATAAAATGTTATTATTTTTCTTATTCCTCTGTATACAAAGTGTTTGTGTTTTGACTGCTTAAGGTTTTTATTTATCACTTGCTGTGTGAAATTGTGTTTGTTTTTATTTTGTTTTGTTTTGTTTTCTCTCCACTTTTGTTTGGGGTTCAGGGCTACATGTGCTGGTTTGTTACATGGGTAATTTGAGTATCACTGAAGTTTGGTATACAAGTGATCCCATCACCCAGGTAGTGAACATAGCACCCAATATGTAGCTTTTCAACCCTTGCACCTTGCTCTCTCTTCTCCTCTAGTGTACCCCAGTGCCCAGTGTCTATCATTCCCACCCATCTTTATGTCTATTTGAACACAATCTTTAGTTCTCACTTATAAGTGACAACATGTATTATTTGATTTCCTGTTCCTGTGTTAATATGCTTAGAATAATGGCCTTCAGCTGCATCCACATTACTGCAAAAGACATGATTTTCTTCTTTTTATGGCTATACAATATTCCACATATGTATAGAATATTTCATATAGTATTCCATATATATTGTATTAGCCATGTAGTATTCCACATTGTAATTCAAAGTGCTATATATATTTGTACATTCCATATATAGTCTGTATATATATATATAGATATATATTTGTACATATATATAGCACATTGGATTACAATGTGTCTTCAGTTAGTTTTCTACATATTGTTTGTACCTGGGATTGTTTAATCTTCTTGAATCTGAGGGTTTTTAATTTTTAACAATTGGAAAACTTTCACCTATAATTTATTTAAATAATTTTAATGGCCCTCTTCTTTGAGGAGTTTAATTACATGTATATTTGGCTTCTTGAAGTTGTTCAGCTTATTGTTCTCTGTTTTTAAAAAAATATTTTGATTCTCTGTGTTTCATTTGGGATATTTTCTATTGGTATGTCTACAGGTTCACTTGTTTTTTTTCTTCTATGATGTCTAATCTGCTATGAATACAATCCCACGTACTTTTCATCTTTTACATTGTACATCTCTCTGTGGAAATTCAATATTTTGTAGTGTCCTCTGTGTTCCTACTTACCTTTTTGAAAATATGACATGCACTTATAAAACTTTTAATGCCCTTGTTTGATAATTCTAACACCCATGTCAGTTCTTGGTTAGTTTCAATTGATTGGTTATTCTGTTCATTAAGGATCATGATTTCCTGATTCTTTGTATGCCTGACAATTATTCAATGTATCCCACATATTACCAATTGTGCCTTGGTGTTTGCTGGATAATTTTGTATTTTATGAATACTATTAAGCTTTGTTGTGGGATACAATTAGTTGAAAACAATTTAATCCTTTTAGATATTACTTTTATTATTTATCAGGTGAGTCCAGGTCAGTAATTGGTCTAAGGCTGGTTATTTTCTTATACTGGAATAAGATCTTGAATACTGTACATATAGCCTCAGGAATTATGAGTTTTTCTAGTCTGTATGTAATAAATTGTTACAATCCCTGCCTTTATTTGAGTGCTGGACACTCCTCTTTATTTTTAGGATGATTGTTTCTTCAATTATGTGTGGTTTCATTTTGCATATTCTCATCAGTCATCTCTTGAATAATTAAGAATTATTATTTGCAAAGATACAATGTCCATTGTGCAGATCTCTTATCTTTGGTACTCTGTCCTGCAAACCCTGGCTACCAGCAGACTCTCAACTTGTCTTTTAAACTCAGGAATTCTGAGCTTCACTTGGGTTTGCCCTTCATGCAGTCCGGTCTGGTTAGTCTCATAAGACAGAAAAGGGAAGATACCACAGGATTCAACTGCTTTGTTTTCTGTCTCTCAGGGGGAACTCTCCTTAGTTGTCTGACATCTGTGTCATGAAAGCTACTGTTTCATATATTTTGTCTTTCATTTTCTTTTTCTTGTTTAAATGGGAAGTTAAAATCTCATCTCAATTACTCCATATTATTTGGTAGCAGAAGAGAATATTCAGGATATATTTAGGTGAGCTCTGTAAATATTTTTTCATTCTTTTTCTTTATCATTAATCTTCATCTTTAAGTCTCTTACCTCTAGATTGATACAAAGATTTTTTTTTTTAATTCAAAGTTCTGAACACTTCATATCCCCTGAATCTTCCACCCCAGTCAATGCCTCTGTTCACTTCTGAGTGTATCATAATTAACCCTCCACAGGACTTTCAACTTTCCATTCTTAGTATTCTGCAACCTCTAACTTGTGCAGCAGTCATAGCTATCCATTACCCAAAGATAGATCAGAACACTTGTTAGCTAAAAATCCCACAGTGGCTTATTTATCAAGATAAAATGCAAGATTTATAAAGGCCTGTATAGTTTTACTTGGTTGAGTTCTACATTACAAATCTTCAACGTATCTTCTATTTCTTAATTTTATTTTATGGTCCAATCACGTTTTGACTGTTGCTTTTCAAAATAAAAGTCATATTATTTTTTAAAAACTGCTATGCTAATAGTTCTCTCACCCTGGAATAGCTTTCCCATAAGTATTCACACAGTCTACTTACTCAGTTCTTCAGGTGTTTGTTTAAATATTATCTCATCAGAGGAATCCCATGAAAGTCTCAATTAAAAAATTAATTATTGTCCTGGCTACTTGCTTTATTTAAAGTAATGGCAAAAACCACAGTTACTTTTGCACCAACCTAATATATTCATTTTACTCAATACTGTCAATCATACAAAATAACTCACTTGTCATTCCACTCATTTTCTATTGGCTTCATAAAGAGAGAAATGTTGGGCCAGGTGCAGTGGCTCACTCCTGTAATCCCAGCACTTTGGGAGGCCGAGGAGGGCAGATCATGAGGTCAGGAGATGGAGACCATCCTGGCCAACATGGTGAAACCCCGTCTCTACTAAAAATACAAAAGTTAGCTGGGAGTGGTGGCACGTGCCTGTAATCTCAGCTACTTGGGAGGCTGAGGCAGGAGAATCGCTTGAACCCGGGAGGTGGAGGTTGCAGTGAGCCGAGATCGTGCCACTGCACTCCAGCCTGGCGATATAGCGAGACTCCATCTCAAAAAATAAAAATAAAAAATAAAAAATAAAAAAAGAGAAATGTTGGTTAACTTGACAATATATGTTTACTGATCATATGAATCTATTTATACATCTGCCTTTCAGTGTACTAGGCACTCCGAATAAAATACTGATAAAATATACAGTCCCTAGCTTTAATTTTAAAAAGTTAATGGAAAACAATTTCTATGTGAGAACACATAGGAAAGGCACCTAAGCTGAACTTAAAACTGAATATTGATTAATAGTTAAAGTATGAGTAGGAATTAGTCATCTGTTAGTGATAGATTTTTATTTAAAGGTAATTAATAAAATTATCTATTTCTGTGCTTATCACACACTGATTCTTGCTCATCACATGGAGGCAACAATACAAATGTAAAGCAATATTAGTTTGAGTATCTATTTGTTATTGCATAATTTATTGTTATCATAACCTACAATGAATTTTAAATAGATGATTTGCACATATTTTCCAGGTTCTACGTAGAGCATTTTTTATCTCTTTATTCCTCAAACTGTAGATCATTGGATTCAACATAGGTGTTATCAAAGTATAAAATAAAGAGGCCATTTTGTCAATATCAAGTGAATGACTGGATTTGGGGTGAACATACATAAAGAAGAAGGTGCCATAAAATACAGTTATCACTGTCAGGTGAGTTCCACAGGTGGAGAAGGCCTTGTACCTGCCTTCTGCAGAATTCATCCTGAGGACGGCGACAAGGATCAGAATGTAAGACACAAGGACTATCAGAAGAGATGAAATCAAATTAAAAGCTGAAAAGATTAAAATTATCAATTTAATGTCTTCTGTGTCTGAACAGAGCAAAGATATCAATGGCAGACTATCACAGTAGAAATGCTTGATGATGTTATAGCCACAAAATGATGAGGTAAACATTTTTGTGACTGTCAGCAAAGTCAAAAAGACACTGTAGAGATAAGGTATTGCCACTAGAATTTGACATGCCCTTTGTGACATGATGATCATATAGAGCAGAGGGTTACAAATGGCCACATAGCGTTCATAGGCCATTGCTGACAGAATGAAAATTTCACTACTGATAAATATACTGAAGAAAGTGAGTTGGGTAGCACACTAATTATAGGAGATTATATGTTGATCTACAACAAAGTTTACTAGCATTTTGGGTCCCACTGCTGTTGAATAACCAAGATCAATGAAAGCCAGATGCCTTAGGAAAAAGTACATGGGTGTTTGAAGCCTAGAATCTATCTTTGTGAGGATGATCAAGCCTAAGTTACCCACCACTGACAACATGTATACAATGAGGGAGAACCCAAATAATGGAGCCTGCAGCTCAGAGATGTCCGTGATTCCCATTAGAATGAATTCATTCACTACTGTCAGATTGTGTTTGTCCATTCAAGTAATTCAGGGAACCTATATTGGGAATAAATATAAAAATAATTATTAACTTCTAAGAAATATGACAAAAATATGTATATGTATATATACATGTGTATATATACAAGTGTATATGTGTGTGTATATATATACAGAAGTATATATATGTGTATATATGTATATATGTGTATAAACATACATATACATAAACATAAATATGGAGAAAATTATATGTACATAATTATTTTATATGTATATATATAAAAACATAATTTCGTATCTCCAACTTTAGTATTTTTCCATAAATCTTGAAGGTTGAGCAAATGAAACTTTCTTTTCTGTAAATTGATAATATCATCACACACAGTATACAATTATTTAATTGTCCCTTAAGAATATTTTAACACAGTGCATTAAAATAATGGGATATAAGCTAAGATCAAAAAAGTAACTGAAAAAAACAGTGTAAACACCACCAAATATGTTTACTTTCAATGGGGGGAAATTTGTTCAGAAAGTGGTATTCATACCATGCCAACAATTTGTCTCACATACTTGTTAGCTGCAAAACAAATGCCATAACTTTAAAACATTCTAACTACCAGAATCACAACCCAAGATTTAACTTAGCATCAGTAATAATGAACCAACTTGATAAGACAAACTATGGGTTGCACAGAATCTTAAGTATTTGTAACAAAGGTTTTTATCCTGAATATAAACAATACTTTAGATATTACTTCCTGCTTGTGGGTAACACAAGCAATAGAGAAACATGGCAATGACAGTGGAAATAATGTCAAGATATTTAAAGAAATAAAGGCTTGATATTAAAGAGAAATTAAAGTCATTAAGAGAGACATTAACATTATTAATATGATTAACATTATGAAAACCTACTGAAGAAATCCTATGTGGATGCATAGACCCAGAAAGAGAGAGAGAGAAGGAAAGAAAGGATAAGAGAGAGAAAAAGAGAAAAACAGAATAAGAGAGAGAAAGAGAGGGAGAGATCACATTTTTTATTTGTTTTACCTGAATGGCCCAGGCAACAGATATTCATTATTCAGATTAAGTTAAATGTAGACCACTTAGAAAATTTGTAGAATCCATTTATTGTAATTATTATGTAAAAAATACACTTATTTTTATTTCTTCAATTATATATATATATATATATATCACTCCTTGTAATCAATACATTTGAGTTGACAATGTTGTATGACATAGATATTATTATTTATATAATACCTATCATAGATAGACATCACTTTTTGGTAGAGTAGGAAACTCTAAAACTGTATATCTCTATTAAAGCAACAAAATTAAGATAACAAAACTATCGGAATCTACATTTTTAAGATTATTAAAATCTAGATTTTGGTTGATATTGTTGTCATGTTTCAACTCATCTGCCTACCAAGCCCATTCCTCAGCACCGTGGCAGCCATGAAGATGGTGACCCACATCATGGTGTGGCTGCCTGGTGACCAAGGGAGCAAAATAAGCCTTGCTCTGCAGGAATTGTAGTTGTGTTTTAACCCATCCAGTGGTTCCATGAAGGATCCACTCAGAGATTGGAGCTGGAATAGTCTCCTGATAGGACTTTGTTGAAACTATTTAAAGGCAAATATCCTAACTGCAGTTGCATGGGGAAAGGAAATAACAGACAAGTCAAACAGCATATAGATCAAAAAGCCCAAAAAACAAGAGGCTAAGCAAGGAGATAAATGGGTGAATAAAAGCTTTGAAAAGCTTCAGAGAATTTTGAGAGCTAAACACGTCTAGGTCTACAAAATTGCTCAGAAAAAAATCTGATAAGACCCTAAGATTTCAACTCTGGCTGAACTTTAGGCTCCACTCATGTTTCAACTTCAAAAGCAGGAAGTGAAGGCTAAGGCAAGTTTTTAAATGGTTGGCTAAGAGTTTAAGGACTATCCCAAACAGAGTCAGTGTTAAAAAATATGAGAAATTTATTTTCTTTCTCTTTTTAAAAATTTTTGCTCTAGAAATTTAGTGATACCTCTGAAAAATCACTGGCAGGCAAATTGACAGAATATTCTTTACTAAACATGCATAACAAAGAATTTTCTTTAAGAAAAAAATTAGAAAAGTAAATTTAGGAAAAAATAATTTCTAAAAACAATTTAGAAAAAAAAATCAAAACTACGGTCCACAACAACAAGGCAAACCCTGTAGAGGAAATAATACATGGTTTCTGAAGAAACCTCATTAAAATACTCAAAAAGTTAAACTTTAAATGAAAAATAAATATGTAAGCCAAGACACAAGAAAATATGTTTTATTCAGAAAAGGATTAAAAAAAATGGATAGAAACTATCTTGAGGAAGCCCAGAAACTGGAGTTACTAGACAAGGACTTTAACTGACTTATCAGCATAAGCATAATGAGAGTTCTGGAAGGAAAGAAGGGAAAGAGAAAGAAAGAACACTTGGAGAAATCATGACAAAAAATTCACAAATTTGATGAAAGATATGAATATACACATCCAAAGAAGCTTAATAAACCCAACAGAGGATAGATTCAAAGGGACTGACAGTGCAACATATTTCAATCAAAGTGTTGAAAGCACTTTGAATCTTAATGGTAGCAAGAAAGAGGTGGCTTATCATGTAAAAGGTATTCTTAATAATATTAATAGGTAACTGTTCATAAGAAACTATGAAAGCCTGAAGGTAGAGTGCTGAGAAAAATAAATCTACTAACGATTGTATATCTGGCAAAACAATTCTTCAAAATTGAAGCTGAAATAAAGACACAAACAAAAGTTGAAGGAGTTTGTCACTAGCAAACATGCCCTGCAATCAACAATATAAAAAGTGTTTTAGGATGAAATAAAAGGACAAACCAGACACCAACTAGAAGCCATACAGAGAAATTAAAAAAAAAAAAAAACAGTAAAAGTAACTAAACAGATGAATAAACAGGTGGTATAAAATCTAGTGTTACTGTTTTGGGAGTTCCTAACTCCTCATTATTTTGCCCTTTTATATGATTTAAATATAAATTCATAAGATAATAATTACAAATTTTTATTAATTTGTGCACAATTTATAAACATGCAATGTGTGAAATAGATAATTTGATAGTAGAGCTGCCTAAAAATTTTTAGGTACTATTGATCTTCAGTAGGCATTATTCAAATTAGGTTATTATAAATTTAGGAGTTCAAAAATTCAGAAGATAATATGAGAACAGAATCAAATAGTACAGTTTTGTGAGGTTGTATGTTTCCAGGGGGTTCATTGCACAGTAGGGTGACTACAGTTAACAGTAAGATTTCACAAGGTATTTCAAAAGAAAGCATTGTTATCACAGAAGATGACAGCTCCATGTATGTTATTGCCCCTCCAGATGTTCTAGTGGGAAAAGACATGGTTGAAGACAGTGATATTGATGATCCTGACCTTGTGTGGGTCTAGGCTAATGTGTGTGTGTGTCTTCATTTTTGCATGAAAAGTAAAAAAAAAAAAAAATCAAACAGGTTAAAAATAGGAAAAAAAGCATATAGACCCAGGATATTAAAAAAATTTTGTACAGCTATACAATGTGTGTTTAAAGCTAAGTTATTACAGAAGAGTCAAGAAGTTTAAAACATTTAAAAGGTTATAAAGTTAAAAACTTACAGTAAGCTAAGGTAATTATTAAGGAAATAAAAATAATTTTTATAAATTTAGTGTGGTCTAAGTATATAGTGTTTATAAAGTTTGCACTATTCTACAGTAATGTACTAGGCCCTCACATTCACTCACCTCTCACTCACTGACTCACCCAGAGCCACTTCCACTCCTGCAAGCTCCATTTTTTAGTACGTGTACTGTACAGATATACTATTTTTAATATTTTATACCATATGATTACTGTACCTTTTCTCTGTTTAGATACGTTGAGATACAGAAATAATTACCATTGTGTTACAGTTGCCTACAGAATTCAGTACAGTTACATGGTGTACAGGTTTGTAGGAGCAAGAGGCTATACCACATAGCCTGTGTGTATTGTAGGCTATACAACCTGGGTTTATGTGAGTACAGTGTATGATATTTTGCAAAAAACAAATCATATAATGACACATTTCTCAGAATATATTACTATCATTAAGCCACCCATGACTGTATTTCAATTTCTAACCTGGCACCTTTATTCCTATGACTCTGTCTTAGAGCAGAGGTTTTCTCCAGGTGCCTATGCCGAGAGACCCTCTATGAGAAGAGGAAGGGGAAATTTTAAGGATAATTTTCTCCGCTATTCATTATTTTCCAGACCTCATCGTCACTCTTTTAATTTCCCCTCCCTGTATACACACACCTCAATGTCCATAAAACTGCCAGTGCCTATTTTTCTGGGACTCCCTCAGAAGTGAGACAATCTCCATGTCTTTACTGATCCACTGGATGCTAGACCAATGTGCCAATTCCATGAAAGAAAAGAAACAGGAGGAGTTGGTGCTTTCTCAGGTCTTAAAATCTTGCTTATGTCATTGCAGTAACTGATTAACTCTTTCATTTATGGCTTATTGCCTTAATTAGCTGCACCAACATCTAGCAGTACAGTTCTCTTTCTCCAAACTCAGCTGAGTTCCTGACAGTTTTCTTAGTTAGGACACCAGAAGCACAAGCAACAAAAGTAGAAAACATTGATAAATTGGACTTTATCAAAATTGTAAAAAGAAACAAGATTGTGTATATCAAAGGGCATTATCAAAGAATAAAAAATACAACCTCTATAACTTTAAAAAATTATAATCATATATCTAGTAAGAGTATAGTATCTAGAATGGATTCTTACAATTCAACAACAAAAGATAAGCAAGTCAATTCAAAAATGCACAAAGGGAAAATATTCTGTATTCATGAACTGGAAGAATCAATATTGTTAAAGTGTTAATACTACCCAAAGTGATCTACAGAGTTAATATGATTTTTATCAAAATTGTAGTGTCACTTTTTATAGAAATAACCAAAAAATCCCAAAATTTATATGGAACTACATATAAAAAATCCTGGATAGCTCAGGCAATGTTGAGCAAAAGAATAAAGCTGAGAGCAACACACTGCTAAATTCTGAACTGTATTACAAAGCTTTGGTGATGAAAACAGCATGGTACTAACAAATAGACCAAATCAACCAATGGAACAGAGATTCTAGAGTTGAGTACCCAGTGGAAAAAAACAGTCTCTTCAACAAAGTGTGTTAGGAAAACTTAACATTCATAAGCAGAAGAATAAAATTGGACCCTTGTTTCACACTATATGCAAAATCCAGCTCAAAATGGATTAAAACTTAACTGTAAGACCCGAAACTATAAGAATCCTAGAAGAAAACATAGGGGAAATCTCTATGATATTGCTTTGTGCAGTGATTGCTTGGATAAGACCCTGGAAGCTCAGGCAATAAAAGCAAAAATATACAAGTGGGAATGCATGAAAATAAAAAGCTTCTGTATGTGAAAGGAAACAATTACCAGAGTCAAGAGACAAGCTACAGATGAAGAGAGAATATTTGCATCCATGCATCTGATAATGGGTTAATATCTAAAATAGATAAGAAACTCAAACTCAATAGCTATATATATATGTAGGCAAAGGATCTGAACAGGCATTTCTCAAAAAAAGAAAAAAGAGTTACAAATGATCTGGAGGTATTTGAAAAAAGAATGTTCTAAATCATTAATCATTATGGAAATGCAAGTTAAAAATGAGATATCAGTCCACACCTGTCAGACTATTGTAAAAATGATGAAAGATAATAAGTGTTGGCAAAGATGTGGAGAAAAGAAAACCCTGTCACACTGTTGGTGGAAATGTACATTTGTACAGCCATTATAAAAAAACTGTAGGAAGGTTCCTCAAAAATAAATATAGAAGAGATAGAATTACCATATGACCTGGCAATCCCACTTCTGGATATATAGCCAAAGGATTTAAAATCTGGGTATATATCCAAAGGATTTGAAATCTCATGTTTATTGCAGCACAATTCACAATAGCCAAGATATGGAAACAAACTGTTTCCATCGACAGGTGAAAGGATAAAGAGAATGTGGTATGTATAAACAATGGGATCCTATGCAACCTTTAAAAAGAAGGAAATTCTGTCATTTCCAACAACATGAATGAATCTGGAGGATGTTATGCTAAGTAAATAAGCTAGACAAAGGAAGACAAAAACTGTTTGGTGTATTTATATATGGAATCTAAAACAATAGAACTCAGAAGCGGAGAGTAGAATGGCAGTTACCCACCTGGGGAAGGAAAAAATGGGGAGATATTGGTGAAAGTGTACAAAGTTTCAATTAGAGAGGAGAAGTAAGTTTTGCTGAGATCTGGTGAATAGCATGGTGACTGTTGATAATACTGCATTGCATATTTCAAAATTGCTAAAACACTACATTTCAAATATTCTCACCACGCAAAATAAAAAACATTTGAAGTGATGGGTATGTTAATTAGCTTGATTTAATTATTCAGCATTGGATACATAAATAATAATAAACTAACTTTGTACCCAATGTATATATACAACTTTAATATGTCAATTTATAATAAAATATATGAAACTGGGCAAAGAAATTGAACAGACATTTCTCATTGAAGATCTGAAGATATACAAATGGCCACCAAGCACATGAAAAGATGTTCAATACCATTTCTCATTAAGGAAATACAATCAAAACCGTAAGGAGATACTCCTTGGTAACCACTAGGATGGCTGTAATAAAAAATAAATAAAAAGGAAAATTAAAAATACTGGCAAGAATGTGGAGAGATTTGTACTTTCATACATTGCCTTTGGGAATGTAAAATGACACACCTATTAAGAAAAGAGTTTGACAATCACTCATTAAGTTACACATAGAATTATCATTATGAAACATATGTAAGTTCACAGCAGCATTCACAATAGCCAAAGACTGAAATAACCCAACTGTCCGTCTACTGATAAATAAACAATTGTAGTATATCCATTCAATGGAGTATTAATCAGTCATAAAAAGAATGAAGTATTGATACATTCTAAATATAGATAAGCCTTGAAACCATTATGATAAATAAAAACTGTCAGGAGTATTGTATAATTAAATTTACATAAAATTTCCAGAATATTAAAGCTCATCCACATAGGTAAAAAGCAGATTGTTTCCAGGGCTAGAAGGTAGGGCAGAAGGTATAGCAATTGCTTAATGGGTACAAGAGTTTCCTTTCAGAGTAACAAAAATATTTTTTAACTAGATAGTGGTAATGGTTATACAATATTTTGAATGCATTAAATGGCACTAACTTGTAAACTTTTAAATGTTGAATTTATATTATGTAAATTTATGTGACATTTATTTTACTCCAATAAAAAATGATTTCACATTAGGACTATTTTGCTTTCATTTACCTTTATGTTACTCATCTTGATAACAAACATGTTATTATTTAATTATAACTAACTTTTGATACATGCTGTTTTATGTAAATTGGATTTCAATTTATAAAAGATAATTGAGTAATGTTTATTGTGACTACATACTACTGTTCACTACTTCCTTGAGTAACGCATTTTTGAACAGCGAATTCATGTTTTTCATTTAATAAAAGAAAATTGCTTGGCCATTGTGAAATTACAGCAGCATCAGCATTCTTTGAATCGCACTTACCCTGCAAATAAAAACATATATTTCTATGGGAACTTTACAATAGTAATAAGCAATCTACAATTATTTCACATTAATGATGACTTATAAAACAATGGTTTTTTAAATATAATTTCCTACCCACTATAGACTAACATTCTTGGCTTATTCAGGAAAACTGAATTAATTTTCTGGAGACAATGCTTTTTATGTATATACTAATGGATATGAAAAGTAGTAGTATGACCCATGTTTGGCTGCATAAGTGAGAGGTTGCAAATATGTTCTTTTCTACATCTATGCTAGTAAATACTAGTTTCCCTATGTATGAGAAAACATATGAGCTATTTCTTTAACTTATCTTTAGAGTTCCCTGTAAAGCACTAAACTCGTTTTACTTGATTTTATTTACATTTTCATGAGTTTATGTGACTATTGAAAATGACCTAGTTCTGGACATTTAAACATTTTTTTTCAAGAAAATTTCATTTTGTTAGACTCTCTAAACATATAAAAAATCACACTTGGACATATCTTAGCCTTGGACCTTCACTATGAAACTAGACCAGGTATAGAGATTAGAGAAGCTAGCTCATTCCCTGGCCCTGCCACTGTCCCCACTCCACAAATAACGACCTTCAACACTAAAATAGTTAACAATAAATGTATTACGCAATGACAGACCAAGAAAATATGCATTTGTATACATTTGTTTAAACATCAAAGTGAATTTTGAGTGGGAAAAAATAGTTTTAGAAATAGCCAATAAATAAATAAGGAATGGAAAAGACACCTTAATTTTAA
This sequence comes from Homo sapiens, assembly GCF_000001405.40. NCBI lineage: Eukaryota > Metazoa > Chordata > Mammalia > Primates > Hominidae > Homo > Homo sapiens. Next base: position 56,197,716 of record NC_000011.10, read on the forward strand.
GGAAAATATATATTGCTGCTTTGTAATTTTTAAAGGACTATTCTTTGCTTGTACCTGTATTTGTGCAGGTTTTAATTTTAGTTCTTATCTCCACTAGATGTGCATTTGATCATGCAAGGGACAATTTTATGGCATTTCAAAGACTCTTCTAACCCTTATAGGTACAGGGGATGATCTGTTCTCTTGCAAATCGGATATTATAATGTGATGGAGGCACTACGTAGTAAAATAGATGCTTTAGTATTTTGCTTCGGTCTTATCTCCAACTAAAAGTAATGTTTTGCAAATGACATTGACTCCTTCAATAATACTGGTAAATTTGGGAAACACATGAACAATGCATGATGCCTCTGAAAGAGAAAATGCAAAAATCATAAAAATACTGACATAATTTCTTTAATTAAGAGGTAACTGGAAATCATCATGCAAATCTGTTACTTGAGGTTAAAGTTCTGAAACAAATCCAATTAACTACAAATCACAAGATCATATTTGACATCTTGGTTGGAAATCATCATAAAAATCTTAGGAACCAAAGTGGGAGCTTGCTAACAACACTAACTTCTTTTTCAGAACTTGAGTTCTTGCTTTTTGTTTTTACTATTCAAAGAAATATCAGCTAACTACAGAGAAGTCATTATCTAGCTTTCACCAAAGATTATACTGAAGATGGCTGCAACATTGCACTAGCTCAGAAACTTCACTTAGAAGCAGATTGTTAAGGCTGTGGCTAAATCACCTAGATCAGTTGTTAGAAATTAAAGATAAAGGAATACAGGACCATGAAGAGTAACTGGAACTCTGAGGTGTAGTCACAGAAACAGGTGTAGTCTACTAAACTCTAATAAGGAATCTTTCTGTGCTTTCCATGTGTCCCTAAAGTAACCCAGTAAGAAAAATTTATGGGTTTCTTTCCTCCTTTGAGACTCTCCCTGAGGAGATGGAACACAATTTGTTAATTATGGCTAAAGCATTTGGAAGCTTCAAACAAAGCCAATGGGATATCTGCTAATAATAGAATATGCTTATATTTCCAAACAAGTAGAGTTATGTTAGTTACCTTTCCACCACTATTCTTGGTTATATTTTCTCTACTGCAACACAGAGATCTGGAATCAAAACTTCTATCTGTAGGACATAACTTTTTTTCTTGTAACTCTTAATATCTCTTTCCCAATATAGTGGATTTTTATGGCTTTGTAGCTAAGGATACAATAAAGTGCTTAAACACTGCCGATTGCATTATTTCAAAAATTTACATGAGAAAGTAATAAGTGTGTAGCTGTTTTTTCTGTACTTTGTGGTGTTTTAGATTTATTATTGAAGTAGAAAATACATATAAGCACATAAGCAAATGTACAAATCATAAATAAATTTTTACAAACTTAATTTCTAACTCAAGTTTTACAAACTTAACCTAAGTAACCAGAATCCAGATTAAACAGAAACAACAATAACAACAAAATAAAACATTGTCAGGACCCCATAAGAATCCTTCATTCTCTTTTCCTCCATGAACTTCCCCCAACACACTCAAAGAATGAACAGCTAGTATTCTGACTTCTAACAACATAACGTACAGCTATTTTTGTTACATTATATGAATAAAATCCTATGCATGTTATGTTTCCATTCCTGGGTTCTTTCATTCAATATATTGTGACGAGTAGTTCTACATTGCTCATTCTCATTTCTGTGCACAATTGAACATTTTATATATATATATATATATACACCACAAATTAGTTATTCATTATTCTAGAGGTTTTATGAATAGTGATGATATGAACATTCTATTGCATGTTTCAATTAACATAAACATGTATTTCCATTTGGGTATATTTCTTAGACTGGAATTGCTATGTCATAATATACACATGTTCAGCATTAGTAAATACTTCCAAATGAGTTTACAGAGTAGTTATAGCAACGTGCACTCCAATGAGAAAGACATAATAGTCATGATTGTTCACTATCCTTGTCGAGACTTAGCCATTCTCTATGGTGTGGGTATCATTGTCGTTTCGAGTTTCATTATCCTAATCATGAATTCATTGAGAAGCTTTTCATATGTGCAATGGTCATTTACATATTTTCTTTTGAAAAGTGTTCATGTCTTTTCTCCACTTTTACATTGATTTTCATATCAATTATGTATTGATTTGTAAGAATTATTTTCACATTTTGCATGAGTCCTCTGTCAGATACACATGTATATTATTTGATAAAGCATGTGTAATAAAATGTTCTCTCCTATTATAAGGATTGCCCTTTTGACACTGTTAATTTTGATGAAAAGGACTTCTTAAAATTGATTAATCTTTAATTTTATATGATTATTGCTTTGTTTATTCTGTTTAAAATTTTGTACATACTCCAATATCACAAAGATGTCCCTCATGCTTTCTTCTAAAAGCTTTATTATTTGTATTTTATATTTAGATCTTTAAACCATTTGAAATTCATTTTAAATAAGGAATGAGGTAGATGCTCAGATTTTTTAATTCAAAATAGATATATAAATTGTCTAATGCCATTTATCAAAAAGATCATTCTTTCTTTTTTAGAAAACACTGATGCCTCTATCATGTCAGTTGATACTATATGTGTGAATAAGTTGATAGCATAGGTTTCCATAAGGCAGCCTGAAAACAAGGATGCCTCTTGGGATATTAAATACTTTTTGTCTTTTCTGTTATGTTTTTTTGTATAAATACAAGTGTCTTTCTGGGTTGAGTACTCTGGTTTCTACGGTATTTACATTCTGTCTCTGAGGCATGTCTTTACAGGTGAATTTATTTTGGGTTCTCTCTACACGTCTAATTTAACATTTTGTTTGATCTGCACATATGGGCTAAAAATTTTGACAACACCCTTATCTTGGTTTCTTTTGAATTTATTATTTTATATATGTAAATGATTTGACTTATTTGTTTTGCTTGTTCCTGAAAGTTTTCTGAGAGTAAAAATATACAGCCTAAATGCTGGACACGAGATGGCTCATTAAAAGTCACTAAGGCAACACCACCAACTAAAACACTGATCTAAACTCCTGACATTTTCTTTATTAAATTATTATTATTATTATAATTTAAGTTCTAGGGTACACTTGCACAACATGCAGGTTTGTTACATATGTATACATGTGCCATGTTCATGTGCTGCGCCCATTAACTCGTCATTTACATTAGGTATATCTCCTAATGCTATCCCTGCCCTCTCCCCCAACCCCACAAATGGCCCCACTGTGTGATGTTCCCCTTCCTGTGTCCAGGTGTTCTCATTGTTCAGTTCCCACCTATGAGTGAGAACATGCAGTGTTTGGTTTTCTCTCCTTGCGACGGTTTGCTCAGAATGATGGTTTCCAGCTTCATCCATGTCCCTATAAAGGACATGAACTCATCCTTTTTTATGGCTGCATAGAATTCCAAGGTGTATACGTGCCAAATTTTCTTCCTCCAGTCTATCACTGATGGACATTTGGGCTGGTTCCAAGTCTTTGCTATTGTTAATAGTGCCGCAATAAACATACGTCTGCATGTGTCTGTATAGCAGCATGATTTATAATCCTTTCGGTATATACAGGATGGCTAGGTCAAATGGTATTTCTAGTTCTAGATCCTTGAGGGATCGCCACACTGTCTTCCACAATGGTTGAACTAGTTTACAGTCCCACCAACAGCATAAAAGTGTTCCTATTTGTCCACATCCTCTCCAGCACCTGTTGTTTCCTGACTTTTTAATGATCGCCATTCTAACTGGCATGAGATGGTATCTCATTGTGGTTTTGATTTGCATTTCTCTGATGATCAGTGATGATGAGCATTTTTTCATGCATCTGTTGGCTGCATAAACGTCTTCTTTTGAGAAGTGTCTGTTCATATCCTTCGCCCACTTTTTGATGGGGTTGTTTGATTTTTTTCTTCTAAATTTGTTTAAGTTCTTTGTAGATTCTGGATATTAGCCCTTTGTCAGATGAGTAGATTGTAAAAATTTTCTCCCATTCTGTAGGTTGCCAGTTCACTCTGATGGTAGTTTCTTTTGCTGTGCGGAAGCTCTTTAGTTTAATTAGATCCCATTTGTCTATTTTGGCTTTCGTTGTCATTGCTTTTGGTATTTTAGTCATGAAGTCCTTGCCCATGCCTATGTCCTGAAAACTCCTGACATTTTCTAACAGGATTTATAAGCTTCTCTTTTCTCTCAAGAGATTAATAAAAAAAAAAGTTATTTTCAAATATTGAGGCATGCCAGGTTTTCTAGGATTACAGCCAGCAATATAATATGGTCCATTCTTATATACATTGTTTAATTGATGGGAAAATTACATTGAGAAAAATTAAAAGTTCAAATGGTCATTAGTCAAACCCTTTTAAAAAAATAAAGCCCTGAAACTATAGAATTAACATGTAAATTTGTCAAGGTTTCCTATTTCTCTATTTTTCTTTTCTGCCTATTTTAAATCTGCTGACTTTTGTATTAGTGTTAAGCCAAAACTCAATTATTATGGCATTCCAGCCAAGACTATTTTTAAAAAAATAGATTTTAAAGAATTTTCAAATTAATGGCTTTACAAGCTACAACAGCTTCATGGTAACTTGGAAATATAAATGTAACTGTGTTTGACTAACAATTAGGGTAGTAGAATAGTTAGTTAAAGGATTAATAGTGTAAAAGAAAAAACTAAATAAAAGTTTATAAAAGTTTGGCTAACAGATCAAACAGGTCAAACTGTTAAGATCAGGGAAATAATATAAGATGTCTTTGTTAAATAAGATAAAAGTTCACATTGTCTGCAATCAGGGGCCAAAAGGAAAAAGAAAAAAAAAAAAGGAAAAAAATCCAGACTTACTAAAATGGTTTCCCGCTAATATTTGTCTGGTCAAGAAACACAAGACAGATTCAAGGCTACTCTTAAATTTGTTTTTCTTATACAACTCAGCCAGTCCTAGCAAAAATGTAAGTTTTAAATATTTAATCCTAAATTTACTTAAAATTAAAAAGAAAGAGAAAAAAGGAAAAAATAGTGTAAAAAAATTCCAATTGCTATGGAAAGTGCTGCTTTATACAAAATTTTGGTCGACAGCCTTCATTAGATTGCCTATCAGGCAAATAAAATTTAGTTATGTGAGGAGGTGCCAATTTTATAAAAAATATAATTTGAATCCAACTGTTTTTTTATAAACCAGTGAGTTTCTATAGTTTACTGTCTCATGACCAAATACTAAAATAAAGACTATAAAATCACTGTGTGTATATATGTGTTTAGGTACACTTATTGATATGTAAATATATTGTTGTATGTTGTACCTATATGGTAAAACCTAGTGCAGTTGGCCAGACATTCATTATGAAATTTTATTTAAATTGGCTTAAATAAATGAGCACTCATATAAAATTATATGATATAGTAATTAACCAAATGCCTTTTAGTTCATGTGACATAGGTATATCTTTAATAAATTAGCTGATTTTAAAATTATTGGTAAAGTAAGAAAAAAAATCTTCAGGATTGGAAACATACATTTCTGCCTGAATTTACTGGTCAGACACTTTTATACTTGTCTGGGCTAGATGGTTTAAAGTGTCAAGATTTGACACACAGGTTGTAAAACTATAAACCTAGCCTAAACCAGAATAATCTTTCTGTAACTCTTTGATACATAAGGGTAATTTTATATTGTCAGTTTAATGAAAACCACTGTATTTTTTGAATTATTGATAAAATACTCATATAATTAAAGTTCTTAAGTGAACACCTGAGAGTCACAGGCTATAATAATAATTGATAGGAAAATAATTTAAAAATATTCTAGTTTTGTTTAATATGTCAATTCTCATAGATAACACAGGTAAACTGTTAAAGTTAAATAAAATTTAAGTAAATGAGATAAATGCTTATAAATAAACTTTTCATGTAATTTAAAATTGTAAAGTTATGTTATGTTAAATTAAGTAATAAATATTCACTAAATAACTGGGTCATTTGCAAATTTTAGAAAATCAAACTGATTGTTAAACAAAATACTTTTATTCATGGTTTCTTAAATTATATAGAAATAGTAAATATACTAGAGTCTATCAGTACATACAAAAATTATGCTATAGGAAAACATGTTTCAAAATATATAAAATGGCTTCCATTCCATAAAATACTGATAAATGACAGATGGTTTAACACTGCTTGGTAGAAATTAGGTTGCTAAGAGTTAAAATTCCAATTAATATGTATATAATTCTGGGACAGAAACAGTGACTCACGCCTGTAATCCCAACACTTTGGGAGGCCACCTCCTGAGGTCAGGAATTAAAGGCCAGCCTAGCCAACATGGAAAAACCCCGTCTTTACTAAAAATACAAAAATTAGCTGGGCGTGGTGGCACATGCCTGTGATCCCAGCTACTCAGGAGGCTGAGACAGGAGAATCACTTGAACCTGGTAGGCAGAGGCTGCTACGAGCCGAGATCGCATCTCCGCGCTCCAGTCTGGGCAACAGAGCGAGACTCTGTCTCAAAAAATAAAAATAAAAATAAATAAAACAACAACAGTCAAAATCAATATAATTCTGTATAGAAAATGTATTAAAAACAAGATTTTTTGACAAAAAACTATTTACAAACCTAAAATATGTTCTTTTAAAAATAATATTGCATAATTCAGAGGTTTTTTAAAGATTATTTCAACAAATAGATTTAGGAAGAAAATTAAAACAAGACAAAAACTAGTAAATAGTTGAGAGAGATGTGACAAAAGTTATGGGTAAGAAAATGTATTTTTGGCAAAGAAGGTTAAAAAATTTTGTAGAAAAAAAATCTCGTGTGATAATTTTTGTACTAAAGTAAAATGCTTATTTTAAAAGGAGCAAGCACAGGACAAAATTAAAATTCCAAACATGTCAACAATGGTCTGAATAAATCATGAAAATAATTTTAAAGAGGAATTTATAAAATAAATTTTGTTTGTAATCAAGTTCTCTATAACTAAATGTATAAATATATTTATAAGTTATTCAGTATTAAATAAACTAATATAAAACTAAATCTTTGTCCCTTATGGTAAAACAATATGGTTTTATTGAAATGTTGGTTTGCTTTTAATAAAATTGCAAAAAGTTTTGATTTTTAATTTTGAAATCTGTTTCTGTAACAGTCATTTTCTAAACTGCAAACACTATCTATTTCTGCCAAATTTCTTTCTGAGATCCAATTAATTTTCCTAATTTCTGGTTGGAAATGCTGTATTTTTTTATTTAAAATGAGAATGTTACTTCTATAGGTAGATTTCTCCTCTTAAAGTATTTTAGATTCATATTTTGAAGTTCAATTTTTGCTATATCTCACTGCACGTGATTTTCAGGTTATTATTGCCTTCAGTTTTCCTTCTTTCTCCTTTTGAGAAGGTAATTTGTTCAGTTGTCTGTCTTTTCCACATCTGCATTCTGACCAGAAGGTAATTTGAGGTTTTTCTGCAGGACATGATCATCTGCAGGCTTTGCGGTTTTATAGTAGTTCTTCTTGGGCTCCATAATCTCAAAGCCAAACTTCCTGTAGAAGTCAATTGCCGACTCACCGCTGATCTGGACATGCAGATAGATGTCAAAAGTGCCATCTTTTTCACATGTTTAAGACATGAATTAACATTGTAGTTCCTATTCCTAGCCTTTGGTAAGGTGCCAGATATCCAAGTGTCATGATGTAAAGTCTTTTCTGATTCTGTGAATGAGCCACCCTAGAGTACACTGCACCTACAGGAACATCACTGAAATAGGCAAGTTTTGATCGTTCACCACCTCCATCACATCCTTGTAGAACTTACCATTGTAGCTGACTGAAAAGATAACCCGATTCCTTCTCTTCAACTGTTTAATATTGTGTGGTGTCCCATCTCCCAGCTCCATCCAGCTACCTTTCATCCTCCCCACCTGCTGAGGCTTTTGTTATCACCAATAGCAACTCAGTCATAGTTGCTGCCCTCAGCTCAAGACACTCAACCACACAAGATGGCCTCCTCACCCGGGCAGGGAGCTGAGCAGGTGACAGAGGCAGTGCGTCCCTAAGTCTCCTGAGGGGGGTGAGAGTGTCTCGCACCACTGCGCTGGTGCCACTGCTTCTCCACACATGCAAATGGGGCTCTTGGCTCTAAAATGAAGATTTTCTGATCTATAATTAACTTTGAAATTTTCCACTTGGGCCCATATGTCAAGAACATATGTCTTGCTAAATGATTAGTTTTATTTAGTAAAGTATAAGGGGGAAACATTGTCAAATACTAAGTGATGTTAAATCTTCTTTCAGTTACATTCAGGGGCATGTTATCTATACTTGTTTTAAAATCTACATAAACTTATGAAAATCTAATATGTTAGCAGTCATAATTTTGGTTGATAAGCTTAATCTTCTTTAAAGTTATATTTATATGGATGTATTATTGATGTGAGCATTTTATGATTTTCAGTTGTGTCACTTTTTTTTTTTTTTTTTTTTTTGAGACGGAGTCTCACTCTGTCTCCCAGGCTGGAGTGCAGTGGCACCATCTGGGCTCACTGCAAGCTCCACCTCCCGGGTTCACGCAGTTCTCCTGCCTCAGCCTCCCGATTACCCGGGACTACAGGCACCCGCCACCACGCCTGGCTAATTTTTTGTATTTTTGGTAGAGACGGGGTTTTACTGTGTTAGCCAGGATGGTCTTGATCTCCTGACCTCGTGATCCACCTGCCTTGGCCTTCCAAAGTGCTGGGATTACAGGCGTGAGCCACCGCGCCCGGCCAGTTGTGTCACATTTATAAAAGTCTGATAGCCCTGATGTGATTCAGCCAGTCATAATTCTGATTGATATTTTAAAATGTAATAGGTAATAATAAATAAATTTCCTTGTCAATTGAAAACTTTCATCAGATTTTTATCCATGACTATTCTAACTTTTTGTCATTCACAATTATTGCTTTAAATTCTTCTCTAAAAGTATTTACAATTAACTATAATCCAAAATTGCCTTTCATGGAAAAGACTTTAACAAGTATTCTTGAGTAGATTTATGACAACCTTAAAGGCAATGAAATAAATAAAAATGTCTAGAACTCTGATTTAAAAAACTTATAGGTTCATAAAACTTATGGGTTCATAAAACTGCTAATCAAGATCAAGCAATATAAAAATAACTGATGAAAATAGTTTTTATTATTTTATTTAAAACGTTGTTTAAAACATTGATTCTTTACTTAAATGGTTTGTTTTCAAGATTTAAGAAAAATTTCTCTCATAAGCTATAATTTACACAAATTTGGTAAAGGATAATTTTGTGAAAAAATTGAAAGCATTTGATTTCTCTCCCAATTTAATTCCTTGAAAATTCAAAAACTATTCATAAGTATTCTTACTTTTAATGACAATCTATATAATAACATAATTTCAATAAAAATCTGATTTATCTTTACAGGAGGACACAATTAGAAATATTGGTCATATTACCATGGATTTGACTGAAAATATGTCATATTTGAAAATTTGCATAAAATACCAGATTTCAACAGCTCCCTGCCTTACAGGGAATTAAGTAAAAATTATCACTTCTTGACAGGCCTAGGAACCTTAAGATTGTAAGTATGTAAACAAAATCCAAGGTCTGCCTTGGTTTGGCTTTCTAGCTTAAGAAGTTTTTAAATCTGAGATTTTTAGGTGATCAAGGCAGAGAAAAAGTCATGTTTCTAAAGCAAAGGTATAATATATCCATTATTCGGTTATAGCACTTTGCATTGTTTTTAAGTTCTTGTTATTTACCTGTAGACTACACTAAATTTTCAAGTCTTCTAGATTCTCCCAATACAACTTTCTTCTATAGAATTACTGAAAACAAAAACTTTTTTGTTCCAAAAGCCCTATAAGCTGAAACTAGATAAATTTTAAGGAACAAGCCTCCTGCCTCATATACGGGCCACAGAAAATGTTTACCAAACCACCTGATATTGTAATCAGTTATAGTCAAACTACAAACCATGACAAAAAGTTGATGTCTTAATGCCGTAGGCAGCTTTTCCCACAATGTCAGAATAAAACTCTATAATGGGGCTCACTATTCTCAGGCCTACCTTTTTCATTTGGCAGCATAAATGGCATTTGATTTATTCAATTGGTTGTCTTTAAGCCTAGGATCAAAACTATTATACAAATTGGGACTTTCATACTACTGTTAATTTTACTTTGTGTTTTCCACTTTTAAACTTTGTGTGCTACTCGTTGAATTTTTTCCAGAAATACAATTTCTAACAAAACAATGCTTACTCAGCACTTTCAGATGATGGCAAAAAGATTATGAAACAGACAGAACTGAACTTAATAATGAATTCCAGGTAGACTTAGCCTGTGAGTCTCTTCCTTCAAAACTCTCATGTTGCTCAAATATGGCTAATGGGGTTTTGTCATTAACTCACAGTCAGTAAGCACTCTCTCCAATGTGAGATGGGATCAGGAATGCAGAACAAGTCTATTTTTATTTTGGCACCAAGAAACATCAAAACTTAATGACAGTATGACTTACTAGTGGTGCTTTTGGAAGAATATTTTGATCAAAAGGGGGAAATGTGAAAGCTGTCAGAATCAAAATGGAGTTACTTCTGTTTAAAAAATTAAAAAACAACAAACACACATACACACAAACTGACGAAGCCTTAGAAGGCATGGAGAGAAGGTTCTCAGGCTTGTATGCCTGATAGCAAAAGTATCACAAATGACGGCAAAAATCACAACCTTGCACAAAGGCCATCACAACTTTAAAAATATATATACTTCTCCAAGGACATCTCTCCAGCAACTGCCTGTCCAACCTCAGACTAGTATCACTCTTATTACTGATTTTTGAAGCCAAAGGTAATATTCCTCATTTTTTTCTCTATAAAACCCTTTGTCTTCCTTTTTCTCTCTGAATATGCACATAATTTACTATGGCACTTGCCTTCTCATTGCAATGCTGTAATCCTGAATAAATATTATTCTCTTTTAGAGAGCCTCTCTCTGTTATTTAGGTTGACATGCCCCCTGGGGTGATTAACATATAGACCAGAGCTGACAATTTAATTGTTCTATCTTGCTTCTTTGAAAACTTATCTGCTTGGTTGATTGAGTTAATTCATCACATATGAATAAAAGTGTCACAAGTGGTATATGAGTGTGTATGTTTATATGTGTATATACTTTTGCAACATTAAAACCAACTGATTTTTATTTTTTATTCAAAGAAGGCCATGTGTATACTTTGTTTACATAAATTTTATAGTAAATAATGTAGAAAGGATATATAGCATGTCAACTTTTGTAAGACTATACCATTGAGCACTAATGAATAAGACAGGTACAGGAATCTATCTGAACATGTCACATTCCATGGAAAAGGGAATTTGCTGATGTGATTAAGAATCATGAGATGAGGAGGATTTTATGGATTATCTGTGTGAGTCCAAGACAATCACAGGGGAGAGAGGGAAGAAGAGGGTGAAAGGCAGAGGGGACACAGCAGTGGAAGCAGAGGTCAGAGTGATGAGATTGCTGACTGGAAGGAGAACATAAGCCAATTGCTGTAGGCAACCTCTAGAACCTGGAAAAAGCAAGAAAATAGATTGTCCCGGAGATTCCAGTAGGAATACAGACTGCCAACACCTTGGTTTTAACCTCATGAGATCCACTTTGACTTTCTGACCCCTAGAAATGTGGGATAATAAATTTGGGTTGTTCCAAGCTACTATGTTTGTAGTGATTTCTTACAGTAGCAATAGAAAACGAATACAAGAGACAACATCATTATTTTTACAAAATACACATGTGTAAGCCAAATTAAAAGGTAGAAAACACTGGAGTACTTCTTACTGACCTTAACTAATTTAGTAATATGCATAACATTGGTATAAATGCAAGTGTGAGTTTAGCCCTGTTACTCCAATGCTATTCATCTAGCCAGACCCAAAAGAATTGTTTCTAATGGGAAGTATAGTTCTCCAGTTACAATTATATCAGTTGATGAAGCCAAATACACATATCATAAAGTAGAAAAAGATACACAAATAAACAGATAAGTAACATAAAGGCAAATGCCATAGAACTATTATTAATGTTGCCCTTGAGACCAGAAATGTCCCTCATATAGTGTGATTTTTCCTGCCTTCAGTGATTCTGCTCCTTTAAGGCTAAAGTTAGAAGTTGAAATATTGATTTGAGTCACACAGTCCCCGGATTGAGTATGCTTCTAACCTTCCTGAAAATATTATAACTGTACTTTATTTCCAGACACTACCTTTATTTCACATATAAGTGCCACTCTCCCTCACTCCATCATGCATTAGTAGCCTTTTACATGCAAAGAGATGTAGTTCATAGTAACTACTAACTTAAAAAAAAACAGGAGGACATCTTTAAGAAAATATTATTTTTAAAAAATTTTGTCTGATAAAATTTCATTTCAAATTACACTGAATGAAAATGCTAAAAGTAGTTGTGTTTGGTATTATAGTTTCATAACAAAGGCAATTAACTTTACACAAATGTTTTATGATGAGATGGAAAAAAGTTGTGTGTCTTATTTGAGAGAACATCAACATTTAGCTTTGGGTGCACACACCAACTGAGAACAATGAAAAAAGAAAATCCCCTTTAAAAATTTGTTAGCCTGTTTTCCCTTAAGTCTTATTTCCATGTGTAGTTTTTCTGTGATAAAAAATTTATTTTTAAATACAAGATAAAAATGGTTCCACAAAAGTTGAACTTGATGGATAAAATGCTACAAAACTAAAAATATAATTTTTAGTAGCTGAACAAAAGATGTCTCTTGCAAGGAGGATGATCTGAGTTTTGACCACCTTCCAAGAAATGATGCCACATACCTCCACACGCACTATCAGGCATTCTTTTCCTTGTTTGGAAATTATTTTAAAAACCCTTTAGTGGCTTACATTTTATCTATAAGTTATCTATAAACTGTGATTATTTTCAAATTATTTTTATTAATTATAGATATTGTTTTCTTGTTTGCGTATGTGAGGTTGACATAAGAACAATTAAACATTTCCCACTGAAATGAATGGAATTTCTAAAAATTTCTTGACACTTTTTTTTAAAACACAGCAGTTTTCAGGAAAAAACGAAAAGCACTAAAGGAAGATAGTTTTAGCTTTACATTTACATTAGTTTGAGTGATCGGCATGGGTTATCTAGGAACCTCTTTAGTGCATCCTTCACGTTCTTGTTCCTGAGGCTGTAGATTAGAGGGTTCAGCACTGGTATCACCAGGGTGTAGAAGACCGAAGCCATTTTGTCAGTATCTAATGAATGATTACTCCTTGGTTGCAAATACATGAAAAGGAGAGTCCCATAGAACACAACCACAGCTATCATGTGAGAAGCACAGGTGGAAAAGGCTTTTTGTCGTCCTTCTGAGGAACGTATCCTCAAAATGGTAATAACAATGTTGAAGTAGGATATCAGAACAACGATCATGGAGAAAAGCAAGTTGGTCCCTGAAAAGATAAAGACTGCTGTTTCTGGAATGTAGGTATCAGAACAGGACAATGCTAGCAAAGGGACATCATCACAGTAAAAATGGTTGATAATGTTGGAAGAACAGTATGACACAGAGAACACACAGGAAGAGACAGTCAGTGCTGTGATAAGACTCTGAAGGTATGTGAGGGACACCAGCAGACGACACACCTTTGGAGACACCACTACGGCGTAGAGCAGAGGGCTCCAAATAGCCACATAGCGGTCATAGGCCATTGCAGCCAGCGTGAAAATCTCAGCCACAATGAAAACCAAGAATCCACCCAGTTGGGCTGCACATCCATAGTATGATATGGTTTTCTTGGTAACCAGGAAGTTAACCAGCATTTTAGGGGCAACGACAGTAGAATTGCAAAGATTAATAATAGCCAAGTGTCAGAGGAAAAAGTACATGGGGGTTTGAAGTTGAGGGTCAACACTGGTGAGGGTGATGATGCCCAGGTTCCCTGCCACGGTCAGCAAATAGAGCACCAGGAAGACCAGGAAGAGGGGAATCTGGAGCTCCGGATCATCTGAGACTCCCACAAGAATGAACTCCGTCACCCATGTGAGATTTCCTGAAGCCATTTGTATTGTTGGCTTCATCTTTTACCTGAAAAAGTTGAAAGAAATCAATTGATGATAACATTGATGTTTCTGTTAGATGCTAGGTTGTTAAATATTTCATTTGAAATCAGTTTATTTTGTTTTACAAACTCTTACAAGTTTCAGAACCTAATTGTTTTTCTCCCCATGTTTTCATAAACTTCAGAAATAAAAACTCCCCAGACAATTAAGAGTCTTAAAACTGGCCGGGCGTGGTGGCTCACGCCTGTAATCCCAGCACTTTGGGAGGCCGAGGCGGGCGGATCACGAGGTCAGGAGATCGAGACCATCCTGGCTAACACGGTGAAACCCCGTCTCTACTAAAAAACACGAAAAATCAGCCGGGTGTGGTGGTGTGCGCCTGTAGTCCTAGCTACTCGGGAGGCTGAGGCAGGAGGATGCTGCGAACCTGGGAGGCGGAGCTTGCAGTGGTGCCACTGCACTCCAGCCTGGGCGACAGAGCGAGACTCCGTCTCAAAAAAAAAAAAAAAAAAAAGAGTCTTAAAACTGTTTGGACAAGCAATTTATGTATTTACTATTGGATATAGTTTATATTGAGTGAATACATATTTATTTGTTTTGTAATATGTCTTAATATTATGCATTTATCAACTATATTAGCACATAATATTGGATGAATAGATATGCATTTTATATTAATGTATATTCACATGTATTATATACATAGATTAGCATATGATATTGATTAATATATATACACTTACATGAACATGTAATTTATTACTTACAATTTTTATTTGTGTGTTTCTGTCTGTGTTTCCAGTGATAAGAGAGAGCAGCCTTAAGAAGTTGATGACACGGGGTGACCACCAGTTATCTTTTTCCTAGCTTCCACTGGTGACTTATCCAGCCCCTAACTTGTCATTAATAATTCTTGGGAATTTCAACATTTCTATGGGAAACACTTTCAGTATTCTGGATTTTGCTTTATCAATTTCTACCGCATAATGTTGCTTCAGCTGTGCAGAAGTAGGCCTACACTTCAATATTTTTCCCTCTGAGTGTAATTCTGAAAGTCAGAATCCTTTTTACTCAATCACATTTCGTTACTTCTGCTAGATAAGCCAGTCCTGTCCTATCATTGTGACTTCTCTTACTCAGACTCTTCTCTACTATTTTGTTCCAGAAGCCCTACTCTCCCTTCCCTTTCTAGCTTATACTTTTTCATTTTAAATTGTTATTGTTTTATTTTTTAATGCTTATTACTTACAACTTTTATTTGTTAAAGTTAGATTACTTTGATTTATTATACTTGTATAGAAAGACGAGTGGGGAAGGCTGTTAATATTTATTTAAAAAGTAACATGTGTTGAAAGTTATCCTAAGAATTTTGAAATAGTTATCTCATTCTGCAGGAGCACCCTAAAATATAGGTAGATGGTAATTATTTTCATGTCTAATAAGAAAATTGAGTCTCATTGAAGTAAAATTACTCAAAAAGACTGTGTAAGACATTGTTCCAAACTGCATGGTTTTATGATTTTGTTTCTGTGATTGATTGTGTTAGTCTACCAATTAATACTCAAAATTACTTGAAAATACTATGTAGACATTGATCTAAACTTCATGGTTTTATTTTGTTTTTGTGATTTTGTTTATGTAATTGGTTTGTTTTAGTCTACCAATTAATACCTAGGTGATTTTTACCAAGCATTATATTCTTGTATTATCCACATTAAATGAGATAATGCACATAAATGATTTGTTTTTATAGAGCCTGGTACCAAGTGAATGCAAAATGGATGCTACCTTCAGTTTTTGTTATTAGCATGCTTTGAATGATTTTCAATGTGAGTTCTTAATTCCAGTAATTCATTCCACCTTACTGAGTGCTTTTACAGTTAATACAGAAATAGCAAATGAATTATACTACTGCATATTTTTTAAAAAACTGGGACACACAATATCTAGCTCCTTTTTTAACAAACAAAACATGCTGTCTTGCAATCAGATTACCTCTTAAATCTTCAATGTTTCTTTGTTATGATACATTATTAAATACATCAAATATGAGTCTGAGAAACTGATCTGATTGTGTGTAGCGCCTATCCTCTATCTTTTGTTTCTTGCCACTGCGCTAAAAAGAACTGCATGTCTTATAAGCAGGCAAGCTTATGATTTAAAACATTGTGCTAAAAATTACTTTGATCAAAATATTTCCTGTTTGGCTGCCACACACAAAGCAACTCAGTGCATTGTTCATTCTGACATTTATATTCCATAGACACCCTTAATTTAACAACAAAAAAGAACATCATGAGCAATAGCAATTATTTACTGGCTACTCTTGAATTTGTGCAATTAGCTCGGGGAAGGAAGATAATTTGCAAATATTTAATATCTTTACCCATTATTAATTTCTCCTCCTCTGAAGCATGGCTGAGGGCAGAGCTGGAGTTGATTATTATTTCAGCAAGTATATGCCATTGACATAAAGTTTCCTTAGAACAAACCCAGTTTTCTCCTGTTGAGTTTTCTTTTTTTTTTTAGAATATTTTTTGTTAGAATTTTCCTGTTAAGAGCTATTATAATTTTTCACAAAAGTTTTTTTAAAATTAGTTTTTGAAAAGAAATATTTTATAGGTCTACCAATACCATGAATCTCAATATAAAATAAATAAAAATATACCTGAGGTTAATAATTTTAATGTCAATTTCACTGTAAAAATTGTCACCCTTTGGATGAGGTGTTATGTTGCAAATTAACTCTTAAATAGCTTCTGAGAAGATTTCAAGACTATATTTCATTAATGTCTAACTGTGGAATTTGTGTTAATCTTGTTGAGACATGGGTCTGGTTTGAGACAAGCACTGAATCTCAACGTGAGTTTTTGGCATCCATCAGGGAGATTGACTATTAGTACCAGGGAATCTTTTCATCCTAGGATTTTTCACCCCAGGGAATGCAAGAATAAAAGCTCATTTTCATCATTGTCAAGTATTTTTGAAAGCCCTTTTTTGAAACATCAAATCATATGCATCAGAGACACATAAGATACTTCCCTTTTGGTGTAGCATTCTCTCTAAACATCTCGGTTCTAAGGCAGAAAAAAATCAGTGTTCATATTAAGGTGGAATATACTAACTGTAATGACTATTCATTATTTGGTATAAATGTTCAAGCTGTCTAGTCTATCAATAGAGATGCTGGATACTATTGTTTATGTTGTATCACTGTCACTTCCAATAAGCAATCAGTGGGCAGATACTTGAGTTATTTGGAAAAGAAGACAAATTAGATATCATTTCAATCCTGAGTCTGATTTAAATTGGTAAATCCTCAAAGATACTTGATTTTTACATGAAACTTAGAAAGAAGTAAAATATTTGGTGTAACCTACCTGTGTAGAGAGATCTGGCCAGGCCCAGACCCAAGGTTCCTGCCCGAAGCATGCTAGAGTTTTTCAAGGGTCTGAAGTCTCTGAAGACCTGCACACTGAATATGTTTGTTTCTAGCTCCCAGTCCCCAAGCTTGACAACAAGATTTTCCAAATAAAAATCAGATTCCCTGGGGAAAGAAAGACAAACAGCATTCATTAGCCAAGATTCCACTCAAAATTTTACCCAAAGAGTGAAATGTGGAGATTGCCTAGGGACTCACTTAGATAATACTATTAAATAAAAAAAGAATGCAATTACTCCTATATAAAATGAGAATTGATACTGCTGGCCCTGGGTTGAAAAAATCAATACATAGCAAGCACAGGATTCTGGCTCCAATGGTCAATTTCAATGTGAATATTGTGAACAGAACTAAATGTAACCCCCATATTCTGCATCAAGAGCAACTCCTGATACATAAGTCATAAAAACCAGGTGATATAAAACATAAATTCAACATGTGAGTGGTTATAAAAAGTGAATATCAACTTTTAATTAACTTCTTAATGTGACCAGAAGGGGTATTAATTAAAATTCTTGTTGTACTTATCATATATTTGGTCTTATTTCTAGGGATTAATTAAAATTATTTGGTTGGAAAATATGTTTTTTTATATGATGAGCCTGTGATATTCCCTCAAAGCATATAGAAGCATCTTAAGTAAATACTGATAGCATTTCTTTTTTTTTAACTTATTATGTGGAATTTTCTAGTCTGTAAGCATTGTAGATGCAAAAGGTATGTCTGCAGTTACATTCTAGACACTGTATTTCCATCACTCAAATTAAACAATACTTTTATATTATATGCTTTATTATTTAAAATAATGGATCATTAGATACAACCTAAATTTTCACTTAACCAGCTTCTCCCATTTCCATTTCCTCCATTCTATTCAGAATTAACCACTTTTGATTATCACAACCTTTTTTTTTTATTATTATACTTTAACTTCTGGGGTACGTGTGCAGAATGTGTAGGTTTGTTACATAGGTATACATGTGCCATGGTGGTTTGCTGCACCCATCAACCTGTCATCTACATTAGGTATTTCTTTTAATGCTATCCCTCCCCTAGACCCCCAGACCCTGAAAGATCCTGGTGTGTGATGCCATCCCCCCACCCACAACGTGTCCATGTGTCCTTATTGTTCAACTCCCACTTATGAGTGAGAACAGGTAGTGTTTGGTTTTCTGTTCTTGTGTTAGTTTGCTGAGAATCATGGTTTCCAGTTTCATTCATGTCCCTGCAAAGGACATGAACTCATTCTTTTTTCTAGCTGTATAGTATTCCATGGTGTATATGTACCACATTTTCTTTATCCAGTCTATTATTGATGGCCATTTCAGTTGGTTGCAAATTTTTGCTATTGTAAATAGTGCTGCAATAAACACACATGGGCATGTCTTTTTACAGTAGAATGATTTTTAATCCTTAGGGTATATACCCAGTAATGGGATTGCTGGGTCAAATGGTATTTTTAGTTCTAGATGCTTGAGCAATCACCACACTGTCTTCCACAACGGTTGAGCTAATTTACACTTCCACCAACAGTGTAAAAGCATTCCTATTTCTCCACATCCTCTCCAACAAGTTGTTTCCTGACTTTTTAATGATCGCCATTCTAACCTGCATGAGATGGCTATCTCATTGTGGTTTTGATTTGCATTTCCCTAATGAGCAGTGATGATGAGCATTTTTTCATGTTTGTTGGCTGCATAAATATCTTCTTTAGAGAAGTGTCTGTTCATATCCTTTGCTGATTTTTGATGTTTTTTTTTCGTGTAAATTTGTTTAGGTTCTTTGCAAATTCTGGATATTAGCCCTTTGTCAAAGATCAGATGGTTGTAGATGTGTGGAGTTATTTCTGAGGCCTCTGTTCTGTTTCACTGGTCTATATATCTGTTTTTGTGCCAGTACCATGCTGTTTTGGTTACCGTAGCTTTGTAGTATAGTTTGAAGTCAGGTAGTATGATGCCTCCAGCTTTGTTCATTTTGCTTAGGATTGTCTTGGCTATGCGGGCTCTTCTTTGGTTCCATATGAAATTTAAAGTAGTCTTTTCCAACTCTGTGAAGGAAGTCAATGGTACCTTGATGGGGACAGCACTGATTCTATAAATTATTTTGGGTAGTATGACCATTTACACTATACTGATTCTTCCTATCCATTAGCATGGAATGTTTTTCCATTTGTTTGTGTTGTATCATATTTCCTTGAGCAGTGTTTTGTAGTTCTCTTTGAAGAGGTCCTTCACATTGCTTGTATGTTGTATTCCAAGGTATTTTATTCTCTTAATAGCAATTGTGAATGGGAGTTCATTCATTATTTGGCTGTTTGTCTGTTTTTGGTGTATGGAAATACTTGTGATTTTTGCACATTGATTTTATATCCTCAGACTTTGCTGAAGTTGCTTATCAGCTTAAGGAGATTTTGAGCTGAGATGATGGGGTTTTCTAAAAATATACAATCATGTCATCTGCCAACAGAGACAATTTGACTTCCTCTCTTCCTATGGAATACAATTTATTTCTTTCTCTTGCCTGATTGCCCTGGCCAGAATTTCCAATACTTTGTTGAATAGGGTTGGTAAGAGAGGGAATCCTTGTCTTGTGCCAGTTTTCAAAGGTAATGCTTCCAGGTTTTGCCAATTCAGTATGATATTGGCTGTGGGTTTGTCATAAATAGCTCTTATTATTTTGAGATACGTTCCATCAATAACTAGTTTATTGAGAGTCTTTAGCATGAAGGACTGTTGAATTTTGTTGAAGGCCTTTTCTGCATCTATTGAGATAATCATGTGGTTTTTGTCATTGGTTCTGTTTATGTGATGGATTATGTTTATTGATTTGTGTATGTTGAGCCAGCTTTGCATCCCAGGGATGAAGCCTACTTGATCGTGGTGTATACGCTTTTTGATGTGCTGCTGGATTCAGTTTGCCAGTATTTATTGAGGATTTTCACATTGATGTTCATCAGGGATATTGGCCTAAAATTTTCTTTTGTGTTGTGTCGCTGCCAGGTTTATCAGGATTACATTGGCCTCGTAAAATGAGTTAGGGAGAATTCCCTCTTTTTCTATTGATTGGAATAGTTTCAGAAGGAATGGTACCAGCTCCTTTTTGTACCTCTGGTAGAATTTGGCTGTGAATCCATCTGGTCCTGGATTTATTTTGGGGGTTGGTAGACTATTAATTACTGCCTTAATTTCAGAACTTGTTATTGTTCTATTCAGGGATTCAACTTCTTCCTGATTTAGTCTTGGGAGGGTGTGTGTGTCCAGGAATTTGTCCATTTCTTCTAGATTTTCTAGTATATTTGCATAGAGGTGTTTATAGTATTCTCTGATGGTAGTTTGTATTTCTGTGGGATCAGTGGTGATATCCCCTTTATCATTTTTTATTGCATCTATTTGATTCTTCTCTCATTTCTTCTTTATTAGTCTGGCTAGTGAGCTATCTATTTTGTTGATCTTTTCAAAAAACAAGCTCCTGGATTCATTGATTTTTTGAAGGGTTTTTCATGTCTCTATCTCCTTCAGTTCTGCTCTGATCTTAGTTATTTCTTGTCTTCTGCTAGCTTTTGTATTTGTTTGCGCTTGCTTCTCTAATTACTTTAATTGTGATGTTAGGGTGTCAATTTTAGATCTTTCCTGCTTTCTCTTGTGGGCATTTAGTGCTACAATTTTCCCTCTATACACTGCTTTAAATGTGCCCCAGAGATTCTGGTATGTTGTGTCTTTGTTCTAATTGGTTTCAAAGAACATCTTAGATTCCCACACAATAATAGTGGGAGACTTTAACACCTCACTGTCAATATTAGACAGATCAATGAGACAGAAAATTAACAAGGATTTCCAGGACTTGAACTCGGCTCTGGACCAAGAGGACCTAATAGACATCTACAGAACTCTCCACCCCAAATCAACAGAATATGCATTCTTCTCAGCACCACATCACACTTATTCTAAAATTAACCACATAATTGTAAGTAAAACAAATTCAAAAGAATGGAAATCATAACAAACAGTCTCTCAGACCACAGTGCAATCAAATTAGAACTCAGGATTAACATATTCATTCAAAACCACACAACTACATGGAAACTGAACAACCTGCTCCTGAGAAACTACTGGGTAAATAACGAAATTAAGGCAGAAATAAAGACTATCACAACCTTTTATTCTCTTTTCAAGAGAGATTTATCATCTTAAAAATTGTAAGTGTGGGGGTGGAGCCAAGATGGCCGAATAGGAGCAGCTCCAGTCTACAGCTCCCAGCATGAGCAACGCAGAAAATGGGTGATTTCTGCATTTCCAACTGAGGTACCGGGTTCATCTCACGGGGGAGTGTGGGAAAGTGGGTGCAGGACAGTGGGTGCAGAGCATTGAGTGTGACCTGAAGCAGGGCGAGGCATCGCCTCACCTGGGAAGCACAAGGGATCAGGGAATTCCCTTTCCTAGTAAAAGAAAAGGGTGACAGACGGCACCTGGAAAATTGGGTCACTCCCACCCTAATACTGCACTTTTCTAACAGTCTTAGCAAACAGCACACCAGGAGATTATATCTTGTGCCTGGCTCGGAGGGTCCTATGCCCATGGACCCTTGCTCATTGCTAGCACAGCAGTCTGAGGTCAAACTGCAAGGCAGCAGTAAGGCTGGGGGAGGGGCACCCAATATTGCCGAGGCTTGAGTAGGTAAACAAAACAGCCCGGAAGCTTGAATTGGGTAGAGCCCGCTGCAGCTCAAGGAGGCCTGCCTGCCTCTGTAGACTCCACCTCTGGGGGCAGGGCATAGACAAACAAAAGGCAGTAGAATCCTCTGCAGACTTAAATGTCCCTGTCTGACAGCTTTGAAGAGAGTAGTGGTTCTCCCAGCACGCAGCTGGAGATCTGAAAACGGACAGACTGCCTCGTCAAGTGGGTCCCTGACCCCTGAGTAGACTAACTGGGAGGCACCCCCCAGTAGGGGCAGACTAACACCTCACACGACTGGGTACTCCTCTGAGACAAAACTTCCAGAGGAATGATAAGGCAGCAACATTTGCTGTTCACCAATATCCACTGTTCTGCAGCCTCCAGTGTTGATACCCGGGCAAACAGGGTCTGGAGTAGACCTCCAGCAAACTCCAACAGACCTGCATCTGAGGGTCCTGATGGTTAGAAGGAAAACTAACAAACAGAAAGGACATCCACACCAAAACCCCACCTGTACATCACCATCACCAAAGACCAAAGGCAGATAAAACCACAAAGATGGGGGTAACAGCAGAGGAGAAAAATGAAACTGTAAAAATCAGAGCGCCTCTCCTACTCCAAAGGAACGCGGCTTCTCACCAGCAATGGAACAAAGCTGGACAGAGAATGACTTTGATGAGTTGAGAGAAGAAGGCTTCAGACGATCAAACTATTCAGAGCTAAAGGAGGAATTTCGAACCCATGACAAAGAAGTTAAAAACCTCGAAAAAAAATTAGATGAATGGCTAACTAGAATAACCAATGCAGAGAAGTCCTTAAAGGACCTAATGAAGCTGAAAACCAAGGCATGAGAACTACATGCTGAATGCACAAGCCTCAGTAGCCGATTCAATCAACTGGAAGGACGGGTATCAGCGATGGAAGACGAAATGAATGAAATGAAGTGAGAAGAGAAGTTTAGAGAAAAAAGAATGATAAGAAATGAACAAAGCCTCCAAGAAATATGGGACTATGTGAAAAGACCAAAGCTCCGTCTGGTGTACCTGAAAGTGACGGGGGGAATGGAACCAAGTTGGAAAACACTCTGCAGGATATTATCCAGGAGAACTTCCCCAATCTAGCAAGGCAGGCAAACATTCAAATTCAGGAAATACAGAGAATGCCACAAAGATACTCCTCGAGAAGAGCAACTCCAAGACACATAATTGTCAGATTCACCAAAGTTGAAATGAAGGAAAAAATGTTAAAGGCAGCCAGAGAGAAAGGTTGGGCTACCCACAAAGGGAAGCCCATCAGACTAACAGCGGATCTCTCAGCAGAAACTCTAGAAGCCAGAAGAGAGTGGGGGCCAATATTCAACATTCTTAAAGAAAAGAATTTTCAACTCAGAATTTCATATCCAGCCAAACTAAGCTTCATAAGTGAAGAAGAAATTAAAATCCTTTACAGACAAGCAAATGCTGAGAGATTTTGTCACCATCAGGCCTGCCCTAAAAGAGCTCCTGAAGGAAGCACTAAACATGGAAAGGAACAACCAGTACCAGCCACTGCAAAAACATGCCAAATTGGAAAGACCATCAAGGCTAGGAAGAAACTGCATCAACTAACGAGCAAAATAACTAGCTAACATCATAATGACAGGGTCAAATTCACACATAAAAATATTAACCTTAAATGTAAATGGGCTAAATGCTCCAATTAAAAGACACAGACTGGCAAATTGGATAAAGAGTCAAGACCCATCAGTGCACTGTATTTAGGAAACCCATCTCACGTTCAGAGACACACATAGGCTCAAAATAAAGGGATGGAGGAAGATCTACCAAGCAAATGGAAAACAAAAAGAGGTAGGGGCTGCAATCCTAGTCTCTGATAAAACAGACTTTAAACCAACAAAGATCAAAAGAGACAAAGAAGGACATTACATAATGGTAAAGGGATCAATTCAACAAGAAGAGCTAACTATCCTAAATATATATGCACCCAATACAAGGGTACCCAGATTCATAAAGCAAGTCCTTAGTGACCTAGAAAGAGACTTAGACTCCCACACAATAATAATGGGAGACTTTAACACCCCACTGTCAACATTAGACAGATCAACGAGACAGAAAGTTAACAAGGATATCCAGGAATTGAACTCAGCTCTGCACCAAGCAGACCTAATAGACATCTACAGAACTCTCCACCCCAAATCAACAGAATATACATTCTTCTCAGCACCACACCACACCTATTCCAAAATTGACCACATAGTTGGAAGTAAAGCACTCCTCAGCAAATGTAAAATAACAGAAATTATAACAAACTTTCTCTCTGACCACAGTGCAATCCAACTAGAACTCAGGATTAAGAAACTCACTCAAAACTGCCCAACTACATGGAAACTGAACAACCTGCTCCTGAATGACTACTGGGTACATAATGAAATGAAGGCAGAAATAAAGATGTTCTTTGAAACCAACAGGAACAAAGACACAACATACCAGAATCTCTGGGACACATTCAAAGCAGTGTGTAGAGAGAAATTTATAGCACTAAATGCCCATAAGAGAAAGCAGGAAAGATCTAAAATTGACACCCTAACATCACAATTAAAAGAACTAGAGAAGCAAGAGCAAACACATTCAAAAGCTAGCAGAAGGCAAGAAATAACTAAGATCAGAGTAGAACTGAAGGAAATAAACCCTTCAAAAACCTCTTCAAAAAAATCAATGAATCCAGGAGCTTGTTTTTTGAAAAGATCAACAAAATAGATAGCTCACTAGCAAGACTAATAAAGAAGAAAAGAGAGAAGAAGCAAATAGATGCAATAAAAAATGATAAAGGGGATATCACCACTGATCCCACAGAAATACAAACTACCATCAGAGAATACTACAAACACCTCTATGCAAATAAACTAGAAAATCTAGAAGAAATGGATAACTTCCTCGACACATACACCCTCCCGAGACTAAACCAGGAAGAAGTTGAATCTCTGAATAGACCAATAACAGGAGCTGAAATTGTGGCAATAATCAATAGCTTACCCACCAAAAAAAGTCCAGGACCAGATGGATTCACAGCCGAATTCTACCAGAGGTACAAGGAGGAGCTGGTACCATTCCTCCTGAAACTATTCCAATCAATAGAAAAAGAGGGAATCCTCCCTAACTCATTTTATGAGGCCAGCATCATCCTGATACCAAAGCCTGGCAGAGACACAACAAAAACAGAGAATTTTAGACCAATATCCCTGATGAACATCGATGCAAAAATCCTCAAAAAAATACTGGCAAACTGAATCCAGCAGCACATCAAAAAGCTTATCCACCATGATCAAGTGGGCTTCATCCCTGGGATGCAAGGCTGGTTCAACATACACAAATCAATAAACGTGATCCAGCATGTAAACAGAACCAATGACAAAAACCATATGATT
The DNA here is from genome assembly GCF_000001405.40 of Homo sapiens. NCBI lineage: Eukaryota > Metazoa > Chordata > Mammalia > Primates > Hominidae > Homo > Homo sapiens. The sequence goes on from NC_000011.10 coordinate 56,223,360, forward strand.
ATCTCAATAGATGCAGAAAAGGCCTTTGACAAAACTCAACAACACTTCATGCTAAAAACTCTCAATAAATTAGGTAATGATGGGACATATCTCAAAATAATAAGAGCTATCTATGACAAACCCACAGCCAATATCATACTGAATGGGCAAAAACTGGATGCATTCCCTTTGAAAACAGGGACAAGACAAGGATGTCCTCTCTCACCACTCCTATTCAACATAGTGTTGGAAGTTCTGGCCAGGGCAATTAGGCAGGAGAAGGAAATAAAGGGTATTCAATTAGGAAAAGAGAAAGTCAAATTATCCTTGTTTGCAGATGACATGATTGTAGATCTAGAAAACCCCATCGTCTCAGCCCAAAATCTCCTTAAGCTGATAGGCAACTTCAGCAAAGTCTCAGGATACAAAATCAATGTGCAAATATCACAAGCATTCTTGTATATCAAAAACAGAGAGCCAAATCATGAGTGAACTTCCATTCACAATTGCTTCAAAGAGAATAAAATACCTAGGAATCCAACTTACAAGGAACGTGAAGGACCTCTTCAAGGAGAACTAGAAACAACTGCTCAATGAAATAAAAGAGGATACAAACAAATGGAAGAACATTCCATGCTCATGGGTAAGAAGAATCAATATCATGAAAATGGCCATACTGCCCAAGGTAATTTATAGATTCAATGCCATCCCCATCAAGCTACCAATGGCTTTCTTTAAAGAATTGGAAAAAACTACTTTAAAGTTCATATGCAACCAAAAAAGAGCCCACATTGCCAAGTCAATCCTAAGCCAAAAGAACAAAGCTGGAGGCATCATGCTACCTGACTTCAAACTATACTACAAGGCTACAGTAACCAAAACAGCATGGTACTGCTACCAAAACAGCATGGTACTGGTAACACAACAGAGATATAGACCAATGGAACAGAGCAGAGCCCTCAGAAATAATGCCGCATATCTACAACCATCTGATCTTTGACAAACCTGACAAAAACAAGTAATGGGGAAAGGATTCCCTATTTAATAAATGGTGCTGGGAAAACTGGCTAGCCATATGTAGAAAGCTGAAACTGGATCCCTTCCTTACACCTTATACAAAAATTTATTCAAGATGGATTAAAGACTTAAAAGTTAGACCTAAAACCATAAAAACCCTAGAAGAAAACCTAGGCAATACCATTCAGGACATAGGCATGGGCAAGAACTTCATGTCTAAAACACCAAAAGCAATGGCAACAAAAGCAAAATTGACAAATAGGATCTATTTAAACTAAAGAGCTTCTGCACAGTAACAGAAACTACCATCAGAGTGAACAGGCAACCTACAGAATGGGAGAACATTTTTGCAATCTACTCATCTGACAAAGGGCTAATATCCAGAATCTACAATGAACTCAAACAAATTTACAAGAAAAAAACAAACAACCCCATCAAAAAGTGGGCAAAGGACTTGAACAGACACTTCTCAAAAGAAGGCATTTATGCAGCCAAAAGACACATGAAGAAAGGCTCATCATCACTGGCTATCAGAGAAATGCAAATCAAAACCACAATGAGATACCATCTCACACCAGTTAGAATGGCGATCATTAAAAAGTCAGGAAACAACAGGTGCTGGAGAGGATGTGCAGAAATAGGAACACTTTTACACTGTTGGTGGGACTGTAAACTAGTTCAACCATTGTGGAAGTCAGTGTGGCAATTCCTCAGGGATCTAGAACTAGAAATACCATTTGACTCAGCCATCCCATTACTGGGTATATACCCAAAGGATTATAAATCATGTTGCTATAAAGACACATGCACACGTATGTTTATTGCGGCACTATTCACAATAGCAAAGACTTGGACCAACTCAAATGTCCAACAATGATAGACTAGATTAAGAAAATGTGGCACATATACACCATGGAATACTATGCAGCCATAAAAAATGATGAATTCATGTCCTTTGTAGGGTCATGGATGAAGCTGGAAACCATCATTCTCAGCAAACTATCGCAAGGACAAAAAACAAAACACTGCATGTTCTCACTCATTGGTGGGAATTGAACAATGAGAACACATGGACACAGGAAGGGGAACATCACACACCGGGGCCTGTTGTGGGGTGGGGGGAGTGGGGAGGGATAGCATTAGGAGATATACCTAATGTTAAATGACGAGTTAATGGGTGCAGCACACCAACATGGCTCATGTATACATATGTAACTAACCTGTACATTGTGCACATGTACCCTAAAACTTAAAGTATAATAATAAAAAAATGGTAAGTGTATATGGCAGTAATCTTACCTATACGGGCAACAACAACAAAAAATAGATAAATACAGAACCTCTCTAGAACTTAATCCACTGGCGTGACTGAAATGCTATACCTGTTTTATAGTAACTCTCCATTTATTCCTGCTTCCTAGCCCCAGCACCTGGAAACCCCCATTCTCCTCTGTGTTTATGCATTTGATTATTTTGCATACCTTATATAAGTGACATCACAGAGTACTGGTCCTTTTGTGATGGACTTATTTTACTTAACACAATGTCTTCAAGGTTAATAAATTCTGTCTAGTTTTTAAAATAAATCAATTTACTATTATATTTTTGGTAAATAAACGTTATGTATCATTTCTACTTATGTAGTTTTAAATTTATGTGAGGGAATTTATGATGTCTACATCATTTTTGATTGACTTATTTTTTCTTCAAAGAATATGATTTTGTTATTTACATATCTTGATTGTTATAGATTTGTTTATGCATTTAAACTAGATTAAAAAATTGGTTGTGTTGAGTCTTCTATATTACATGAAACAATGTAACTCACATCTTTTTAGTCCTCATTTTTCTCTCATACAATATTCTATCAAGTCTGTACACTTGGATGACGCTTGGAAATTGTTAGGCCACATAGTGTCAATATTTTCAAATCTGTTAGATGCAACAAAAATTTTTTGGTATTTCTATTTATAATATATGTTAGTACTTACATTTGCAAATATTTAATGTTCATACAGCCAGGAAAAAGTTGGGGATATTTTTCCACTCACACCTCTAGCAGTTTTAATAATTCCAGGAAGCTCCTATTTTGGTAAATAAAGGAAGCAATAAAATATCATTAAAATTTTACTTTGAACAATAATTAAAAATACATTTAGTCTACCAGACAACTGAATAGCCACACAAAAATTAATAAAGAAGAACCACTACATCTAATTATACACAAAAATTAACTTCAAATCAACACCCTAAATATAAAAGTAAAATGATAAAACTCTTAGAAGACAACATAGGTGTAAATCTTCACGACCTTCTTTGTGTTTGGCAATAGATTCCTAAACATGCTACCCCAGCTACAAGCAACAACAGCAGAAAATTTATAAATCAAGCTTCATCAAAATTAAAAATATTTCCTCATCAAAGGACATTATAAAGACAGTGAAAAGACAACCTAAAAAGTGGAAGGGAAAATTTTCAAATAATACATTTGATAGGTATTAGATAACTAGAATACATAAAAAAAACTCCCACAACTCAACAATAAGGAGTCAAATAACCTCAGAAGTCTACTTAAAAATGACAAAAATACTTGAATAAAATTTTCTCCAGAGAGATAAACAAATGCCCAATAAAAACATGAAAGTTACTCAACATTAGTTATTAGAGAATTGTAAATGAGAATCACAATGAAATACCACTTCATATCAATCAGAATGGAAGACAGAAAATAGCAAACGTTGGTGAGGATGTGGATAAACTTATACCCTCGTGCTTTGCTGTTGGGAATGTAAATGTAAAATCATTCAGGTACTAAGCTACTATACAAAGCAGTTTGGCAGTTCCTCAAAAAGTTAAACATAGAATTACCATATGACTACAATTCCACTACAAGATATATACCCAGGTAATCAAACAAAGTCATGTAGAGGCAGCTCTACTCACATTAGCCAAGAGGTTAAGAAAAACAAAGTCAAAATTTCCATCAACAGATAAATGGATACACAAATTGCGATATATGCATACAGTAGGATATTATCCCTCTCTGTAAAATAAATATAGCTTTTGAATAAAATAGAATAAACTTAACTAAGGAGGAGGAAGGTGTGTAGACTGAAAACTACAAAACATTTGTGAAATAAATTCAAGAATATAACAAATGGAAAGTCATCCTAGGTTCATGAATTGGAGAACTTAATATTGTTAAAATGCCTATTCTATCCAAAGCGCTTTGCAGGTTCAATGAAATCTCCAAAACCCCAAAGACCTGGTTTACAGTAACAGAAAAAAAGAAAGCCCTAAATTTTATATGGAACCACAAAACACCCTGAGTAGTCAAAATAATCTAGAAGACGAAGAACAAAACTGGAGGTTCCATATTTTCTAATTTCAAAATATATTACAAATCTGCAGTAATTAAAACTGCACAGGACAAAACATAGTGTTTCACGCCTATAGTGCCAGCAATTTGGAAGGCTGAGGAAAGTGGATTGCTTGAGGCCAGAAGTTCAAAACCAGTCTTGGCAACATAATTAGATCTCATCTCTACAAAAAATAAAATAACATAAAAATTACCTGGGCATGGTGATATGCACCTCTAGTCCCAGCTTTTTGGGAGGCTGAGGCAGGAGGATCTCTTAAATCCAGAACGTTGTCTGCAGTGAACCACAATCAGGCCACTGCACCAGTGCACTCCAGCCTGGGTGACACATTGAGACTCTGCCTCAAAAAAATAACAAAACAAAACTGTATGGTACTTACATACAGACTGACATATAGACCACTGGAAGATAGAGAGAGATCAAAAGAACAAATCCACATATATATGGTCCACATCTTCGACAGGGCTCCTAACACAGAGTAAAGGAGAGTCTCTTCAACAAACGGTTCTGGGAAAACTGGATATCCACACGCAAAAGAATAAAATTGGGCCCTTATCTAATTATACTCAAAAGTCAACTCAAAATGGATTAAACATAAGACCTGAAAATTCAAAACTCCTAGGAGAAAAGATAGAGAAAATTTTTATTACATTAGTCTTGGGAATGATTGCTTGAAGATGATACCAAAAGTACAGACAGCAAAATAAAAACAAAATTGACAAGTTGGAATTTATCAAACTAAAAAACTTCTGCATAGTTAAGGAAACAATCAACACAGTGTATATACAGTATACAAAATGGGAGAAAATATTTGCAAACCATATATCTGATAAGGGTTTAACTTCTAAAATATATTAAAAACTCCTACAACTCTATATCGACAAACAAACAAACAAAAAATCCTAATGACCCAATTGAAAACAGGCTAAAGACATGAATTGACATTTCTTCAAAGAAGAGATACAAATGACCAACAGATATATGAAAAGATACTCAAGATCACCACTCAGGAGGAAAATGCAAATCAACACCACAATGAAATATCACCTTATACCTGTGAGGATGTGTGAGGATGATAATTATTAAAAAGAAAATAAAAGACAGCAATTATTGAAAAAAATATGAAGAAGTTAGGACCCTTGAAATTTTTCAATGAAAAGCAAAATGGTGCAGACACTATGGAAACTGCTAAAAAAATATAGAACTACCATATCATCCAATAATCTCTCCAAATTTGGGGTATTTATCCAAAAGAGTTTATATTACAATATCAAAAAGATATTAGAACACCCATGTTCATGCAGCATTATTCAAAATAGCCAAGAGGTGGAAACAATCTCAGAGTCCATTGATGGATGAATGGGTAAAGGAAATGTGGCATATACATGCAATGGCATATTATTCAGCCTTAAAATATGGGCATCTTGCAATATAGGAGAACATGGATTAACCTGGAGGACATTATACTAAATGAAACAAACCAGTAACAAAATAATAAATACTGCATGATTCCATTTATAGGAAGAATCTATAAAATACTCAAACTTATAGAACCAGAAAGTAGAATGGCAGTTTCAACGGACTAGGAGCTGGGAGAAATGGGGAGTTTTTAATCAACAGGTATAAAGTCTCAATATGCAAGATAAATAAGTTCTAAGGATCTACTTCCAACATTGTGCCTATAATTAAAAGTAATGTAAACTTACAAATGTTAGAGGGTATATTTCATGTAAAGCACAATAAAACACAATTTAAAAAATAAAAGAGGCCGGGCGCGGTGGCTCAAGCCTGTAATCCCAGCACTTTGGGGAGCCGAGGCGGGCAGATCACAAGGTCAGGAGATCGAGACTATCCTGGCTAACACGGTGAAACCCCGTCTCTACTAAAAATACAAAAAATTAGCCGGGCATGGTGGTGGTGGGCGCCTGTACTCCCAGCTACTCGGGAGGCTGAGGCAGGAGAATGGCGTGAACTCGGGAGACGGAGCTTGCAGTGAGCCGAGATCGTGCCACTGCACTCCAGCCTGGGCGACAGAGCAAGACTCCGTCTCAAAAAATAAATAAATAAATAAATAAATAAATAAATAAATAAATAAATAAAATAAAATAAAATAAATGATAAAACAACCCATGCTACAACAGACATGGAATGTTTTCAAATAATGTTTGAAAACATTATGCTAAGTGAAAGCAGAACAGGAAGCAAAGGTCACTTTTCTATGGTTCCTTTATAAGAAATATCCAGAATAGGAAAATACAGACATGGAGCACAGATTTTGGGGGGCTGGAGTAAGTGAGAACTGGGGAGAAACTACTTATTGTGTACTTCTTACTGATGGACGTGTTCTGGAGCTAGACAGAGGTGGTGATTGCACAATATTGTGAATGTAGTAATTGCCACTGAATTAATTATTCCCATAAATAGTTAATTTTATCACATGGGAATTTTACCTTAATATATTATTTTTAAATGAGTTTAGATATAATTTTACATGTTGTGTGCCTTTTTAAATTAAGTCCCAACTTTTATTTTGCCCATGTAACTGATGTGTATTCTTGATAACAAATTGTGTCTGATACATGAAAAGAAATTGTTTATTTTATGAAAGCTTTTAGTTTATAAAGTTTCAAATTTAGTGTACTCACCTTAGTTTGTATTTGCTAGCAAATTACCCAAAAGTGTTTGAGTGTTTTCTATCATTTCACATTTACATTTTCTAGATTATTATTAAAGTATATCCATTGTCCATAAGAGGTTTCACCTTTTATGAATTTTATCCATGTATATTTTATGCATTGTGCTATAAATTTTATTATGAATTAACTCAACAAATGAATGATTGTATCTATTTTCCCAAGTCTGTAGTTTGGTTTTTTATTATATTTTTGGTACTTTTTGTCATGCAGACTTTACAATTTTTAAAGAATGAAAACAATCTTTCTGATTTTAAGTGGTGTTTAAAGATCTCTTCTATTCTAAAACATACACACAAGCACACACACGCCACACATATGCACACAGGGGCTGTCCTCATTTGCATGATTTTGCACACACATATGATGAATATCAATGACCATAACTTAATTTTGACTTTTGAAGTAAGGAATCACATAATATCAGAGGACAGAGCCTCCAAACAGGAGAAAATAAATGCAGATGTATTATGTAGAAATATTCTGTGGGAGGATATGCTCTATATTTATACTTTTGAAGTGTGATTTAGATGTATTAATCATATTTTAGCAAAATATTCAAAATATTCATTATATGGAGATGAAAGAAAACAATACACATTTTTAAGTAAAGGTTACAAACATAAATGCCTGTGAATGTGCATTTTTGTGTATATCAATGACTATCAGCATGTATGTACATGTATACGTGAACATATGTATATGTATACATACATAAAGAAAATAGATGACACAGATTTTTCTACATGTAAGAACAGCATAGGTACAGGGTCACTTATGATCTTTATTTTAAAACGTCCAAGAAAAAAAACAGGATTACACTAATAAATTAAACATTTTTATTATCGTCTAGGGAAAACTCTTGCTAACCAGGTTTTTCCTCTACTGTCATACCACAACAATCATCAACACAGAAGACTTCTGTGATCAAATGGGTAGGGATTTCTTCCTCCCACACCACGTGGTAATCACCAACTGGGTATCCTCTAATTCAGTTGCAACACTATCTACCCAGAGATAGTGTCAGATCCCATAGGTTGAGGGTTCAGTCCCCAAAACTGCCCCCTGACAACACCAGTCACAAATTCGGGTCTCTGAAACTTTGACCAACCTGCTTCAAGTTGGATCTCCCATGACCCCCTCTTTGGGTTTCATTAAATTACTGAAGCAGCTCACAAAACTCAGGGAAACATATTACTGGCTTATTGAAAAGGATATTGCAAAGGACACTGGTGAAGGGATGTGTAGGGCAAAGTATAAGGAAAGGGGTGCAGAGTTTCCATGCCCTCCCTGACCATGCCACCCTCTAGGAACTTCCATTTGTTCTGCTCCCCAGAAGCTCACTGAACCCTATCCTCCTAGGTTCTATGGAAGCTTCAAGGCATCAGCATTCCCTCCCCGAAGGTATAGGGTGGGACTCTCTCATGGGAGAGTCTTAAGATTCACAATCAGTAAGGCAGACATTGGAACCCAGCCTTGGTGCAAGTGAAAGGAGGGCAGGAGAAGGTAAAAGGCCTGCCCCTGAGGTATAACACCCAACATTATAACAAAAGACTGTAACAAAGGCTATGGGAATTATGAGCCAGGAACCCTGGATGGAAACCAACATATATCATAACACCACAATGACACATTCTTGGTATTGAGGTGCAGAGTATCACCCTCACCTTTTATAATTTATTTTTTAGTATGAAAATATACTTTATTGATAACCTGATTTTTCCCAAACATTTTTTTCATTGAGTCTTTTACATCTTTGTTCCTCAAACTGTAGATGACGGGATTCAGCAAGGGAATCACAATGGTGTAAAATATTGACACTATCATGTCATGGTCCGAAGCATAGCTGGAACTTGGTCTCACATACATGAAGAGGATTGTCCCATAATAAATTGACACTCCAGTTAGGTGAGCTCCACATGTGGAGAAGACTTTTCTCCTCCCTTCAGCAGAATACATCTTCAGAATGGCCAACAGAATCAAACCATAGGAGATCAGAACAATCAGGATAGTGACCAGCTCGATAGAGCCCACAAAGTAGAAGAGTAGAAGCTGGTTTGTGTGAGTGTCAGAATAAGAAATAGCAAGGAGAGGAGGGATATCACAAAAGACACGCCTAATTTCATTGGCTCCACAGAAGGATAGGCTAAATGTAGCCACTGTATGTATAGTAGCATGTAAAATGCCAGCAACATAGGAAGCATTGATGAGTGGCATGTAGACTCTGGGTGACATGCTCACTGAATACAGGAGAGGGTTGTAGATGGCTACATAGCGATCATAAGCCATTGCAGCCAAGAGAAAGCATTCTGTGGTTCCAAAACTACAAGCAAGAAACACCTGTGCTACACATCCAAGGAATGAAATGACTTTATTCTTTGTCGTAAAATCTACTAACATATTTGGGGTAATAACTGAGGAATAGCAGGCATCCACAGAAGACAACATACTCAGAAAATAGTACATGGGTTTGTGGAGCTGGGAATCCCTAATGACCACTAAAATCAGTCCTAAATTTCCCATGAGAGTGAAGAGGTAGATTGCTAGAAACAGGAAGAAGAAGATAGTCTGCAGTTCAAGATTGTCTGTGAAGCCCTTCAGTACAAATAAGGTAACTTCAGTGACATTCTTCATGTTGAAATCTAGAACAAACTTGAAGATATGCATAAAGTTACAGTTCATATTATGACAAAAAGAATGAACAACACCATGACTCAAGGGGATGTTAACTGTGCTCTTGTATATACTGTACGACATATATTCAGCAGTGCATAATTCTCTAGTAGTGAATCAGAAGACAGTGACAAACTGGTCAGCCATGTGTTCATGCCACTCACTGCAGAATCAAATGGAAGAAATGGACGTTCATTAGTTGGCTGGACTTATTCTGTTTCTAAAATCATCAGGTCTACTGGTTAATTTACCACTGAATTGTATTAAGCTGTTTATATATTAAATAATATTAAAACACACAAAAATGAGTGGCTTAAACAATCTTTGGGCATCCAAATACACAAGAGACTGTATCAGGGGACAGAGCATTGGAATACAATACCAGAATTTTAGAACTTGTAGCAATTGTGCAAAATGATTTGCTATATCTACTTGTCTATAGAATGAGAACATTAATAGTTTGTTCACAAGATTGGAGTAAATATTGAAGGAAAATTGCATTAATAAAATATAATATGTAAAATAATTTTGATTATAGAATATGCTGAATTAAGTTGGTTCTACATTCTATCAAGATTAAATCCAATGAACAGTTATGATTTTTTTCATCTGCTCATTCAAATGTCTCTGAATTATTCTTTGGAGAATGAAGAAGTTTTGTGAATTACTTGATCATTTTATGCCAAAAATAAACATGCAAATTACCATGATTCCATTTTCTACATTACAATTGTCTTAATTTTGCTTTGTGCAAATAAGATACTTCAACCAAATTTCTTGTGAGACAGGCATTTCTACTAGATGCCAAAATAAGTTATATTGGGTAAAAATTAAGTTAATATTAGCACATAGTCAAAGATTCAGAGTTATAAAGAGAAAATCACTATGATTCTTGAAGATTTAATAATATAGAATCAACTTTTTAAATTAATGCAAATCTATTTTTATGAAACAAATTTTAATGGAAGGGAGAAAACTTTAAATATCGTGAATGTAATAACGAAACACTAAGTTTGCTAAATAACAGGCATTTATTTAGCACTTGCTGCAAGAACAGACATTTCTTGTACATTACCTTATTTCACCTTTATAGCAACTTTCATAGCTAACAATTTCCAGAGCCAAGATTCAATCCCAGGTTTCTCTCATTGTACATGAAATTTTTGCATTTTTTCATGGCCTCATAAATGGCTTCATTCTGCAACTGGAACACTCTTCCTCTTACCCCTCTGCTGACCTCAGGGAAATAAAGGTAAAGCAAAACATGATTCTCGATGTATTTGTATTTTTTAAGCCATTAAATCTAGAGAAACATAAAATAAGTAGCAATCTGAAGTGACTTCTAGATTATAAAGCCAGAAAATAAATTTAAAATAAGTATTGATTGTTTTCCTTATTACTTCAAAATACAAGACCCCAGATAAATGAATAAGTCAAATGTTTTTTTGCCCTTTGTTGATATTTATTGGTAAATTCATGACCTTTGAACTATCTTTATCTATAAGAAAAATACAAGCATATACTCTATTAGGAGCACTCTTATTTATCTCTATAAGTACAAATACAATATTTTCTATTTTTTATTGTTTTCTAGTAAGTGTTGGATTTTAATTCTTAGGCATAACTCTAAATAAATCATATTTTGATGAATACACTTGATTCACATATGTAATAGTCCAGAACTGAAGTGTTTAGTTCTTGGTGTTTAGCAGCTAAAAAGTTTAGTAAAAAAAAACATAGTTATTCTTGATATTGTAGGTTCTAGCTGCCGAAATATTCTTCAAATTATCTGAAATTTTCTCTTACCTGTGGAACAGCAAATGCAGATTTAGGTATTCTATGAATATGGCTAACTTAGATTGTTTATATCTTTGTAATTGACTGTTGATGAAATCCAAGGAGATGTCCCAAGGGGAATATGCCCCAATTATCTTCTGTTTCAAAATAGCACCATGATGATTTACTTAATAATAAAAAGTAAATGATTCCGGAATAAGGCACTGCATGCTCCTACTTATTGAATCAATAGAGTTCTTTGGCTTCTGTTTAAAATGTGTCAGATTTGAATTTCCCTGATGACTACTGATGTTGAACATCTTTTCATACATCTGAAGGCCATTTGTATGTCTTCTTTGGAAAAAAAATGTATTCAAGTCCTTTGCCAGTTTTAAAATAAGATTATTGTTATTGTGGCTATTGAATTTATATATTTTGATATTAATCCCCTATTAGATATATCATTTACAAATATTTTTTGTTTGGCTGATGGTTTTCTTCATTGTGCAGAAGATTTTGACTTTGACGTAGCCCTACTTGTCTAATTTTGGTTTTGTTACTTGGCTTTTTATGTCATTGCTTGTATTTTTATGTTACATCCAACAAGTTACTGCCAAGCTGAAGGTCCTAAAGTTTTTCCTTATGTTTTCTTCTAGAAATTGTAGTTTCAGGTTTTATGTTTAAATTTTTAATCCATTTTGGGTTGGTTATTTTATATGGTATAAGACAAGGGTCCAATTTAATTTCCCATTGTGTATTCTTGGCACACTTGTGAAAGATCATTTGACTATATACATGTGGGATTGTTTCCAGGCTCCCTATTCTGTTCCGTTGGTCTATATATCTGTCCTTATTCCAGTCCCATGCTATTTAATTACTGTAGTTTTGTAATATCATTGAAATAAAAAAGTATAATACCTCTAGCTTTGTTTTTCTTTCTCAAGATTCCTTTGGCTATTTGAAGTCTTTTGTAATTGCACATAATTTTTACGATGTTTTTTCTATTTCTGTAAAACCCAGCACTAGGATTTTGCAGGAAATGCATTAAATCTGAAGACCCCTTTGGGTAATATGGAGATTTTAATTATTGCAGATCAAAACCACAATGAGATATCATCACACACCTGTTATGGCCATTATTTAAAAAAAAAAAGTATTGATAAGAATGTGGAGAAATTGGAACCCTGGTGTACTGTTGACAAGAATATAAAACAGTGCAGCCATGATTGAAAATAGTATGGAAGTTCCTTGAAACATTAAAAACAGGATTACTATACAATCCTGAAATTCTGAAACCACCTTCGCAAAATTATGACAGTAAGAGAAATCTGCCATGACTGACTTCTTCTTGCTTCTATCATCACAGGCTGTCTGTCTTTGCTCATCTCTGGGCATGGACCAAATAACTTCGGGAGAAATTTAGTTTATAGTTTAAATGATAATAGTCCTTTGCAAAAACTAAACCACCTTTGTAAAACTAATCAAAGGCACCAAGTTAAGAGGATGAGAGGAGTCTGTGTTCTGCTAAGATATAGGCCTAGTAAAATGATTACCAGCCATTTTTTCCTGGAAGTCACAAGATTTGCAGCTTCCCCAATTATTCCTGCAGATAACATAGCTATTGTAGAACCTAAGATTGGCATTTTGAGATTCTTTTCAAATATTTGTATATCTGATAGCTGGATGGCCCCACCTGGACCTCTGACTCAAACAGTCATGTGGCCCCCACCCAGAAACACACTCAACACATGAGGATCATTTTCCACATCCCTATGATTCATCCTAAACTGATCAGCAACACCCATACCCTAGCCCTCTGCCCATCAAACTATCTTTGAAAAGCACCTAACTTTCAAGCCTTCAAGGAGATTGAATTGAGTAATAACTCCCTCTCCCATATGGTGTGGCAAGCCTCATCTCTTTTGCTTATTCTCATGCATTTTCATCCTCATAGCTTAGCTCCAGCTTATGAATGAGATGACATGATATTTATTTTTCCATTCTTTTCTTTACTGCAATGCCGTGGTCTCAGTAAATTGATTTTGTCTGTGGAGCAGTCAGCAAAAAATCCATTTGGCAGTTACAATTCGATATCTGGGTATTTATCCAAAATACTTGAAATCAGGATTTTGAAGATATATGTAGTCCATGTTTAATGCAGTATTATTCACAATGGCCAAAATGTGGAAGCAACCTAAATGTGCATTAATAGATTAATGGCAAACGAATAAGAGGTATATACACAGCTTTAAAAAGAGTAGACCCTGTCATATGTGTTATCATGGTAGAACCAGGAGGACTTTACTGACAAACACTGTGTGATTCCACTTACGTGCGATATCTATAATACTCTCAATGATTAGAGAGTAGAATGGTGGGCTGCCAGGGGCTGAGGAGAGGGGTAATGGGAGTTTATATTCAATGGATACTAAATTGCCATCATGTATGACATAAGAATTCTAGAGATCTATTGTACAACATTGTGCCTATAGTTAATACTGCATCACACACATAAATTTTGTTGAGAAGGTAGTTCTCATGTTAAATTTCTTATCATAAAATTTTTGAAAAAACAAAAACACAGAAAATGATGCTTTAGAAAAAACTATGATTCAAGACTAGGTAAGAGCTCTTAAATCCTAAAGTTTAAGCTTCAATCATAGTGGTGACCATGGGTTAGAACTTAATTTCTCTGAGGTTCAGTTTCCTCATCCTGAAAATATATGCAATTTTGTCTTATTTTTATTTTATTTTTTGGTTTTGAAGGCTTTCCATTTTCATAAATTTTATTTTTATTTCAACAGTTTATGGAATACAGGTGGTTTTTGGTTACATGGGTAAATTCTTTAGCGGTGATTCCTGAGATTTTGGTGCACCAGTCATCCAAGCAGTGTACACTGTACCCAATATATAGTCTTCTGTTCATCACCCCTCTCTCACCCTCCACCTTGAGTCCTCAAAGTCCATTATATCGTTTTTAAGCCTTTTCATCCTCTTAGCTTAGCTCCCACTTATAAGTGAGAACATACAATATTTGGTTTTCCATTCTTGAGTTACTTCACCTAGAATAACATCTCCAGCTCCATCCAGGTTGCTGCAAAAGACATCATTTCATTCCTTTTTAAGGCTGAGTAGTATTCCATGGTGTGTATATACCACATTTGCTTTTTCTACTCGTTGGTTGATGAGCACATAGATTGGTTCAATATCTTTGCGATTGCAATTTGTGCTGCTATACGTGTGAATGTGTGCTGCTATACATGTGAATGTGTCTTTTTCATATGACTTATTTTCCTTTGGGTAGATACCCAGTAGTGGAACTGCTGGATCAAATGGTAGTTCTATATTTTGTTCTTTAAGAAATCTCCATACTGTTTTCCATAGTGGTTGTACTAGTTTACATTCCCACCAGCAGTGTAAAAGTGTTCCCTTTTCACCACAAGCATACCAACATCTATTGTTTTTGACTTTTTAATTATGCCCATTTTTGCAGGAGTAAAGTGGTATCTCATTGTAGTTTTAATTTGTATTTCCCAGATAATTAGCAATGTTGAGCATTTATTCATGTGTTTGTTGGCTGTTTGTATATCTTCATTTTAGAATTGTCTATTTTTGTTCTTTGCCTATTTTTGATGGGATTATTTGTTTTTCTCTTAATGATTTGTTTGAATTCCCTTTAGGTGCTGAATATTAGTCCTTTGCCAGATGCATAGTTTGTGAATATTTTCTCCCAGTCTGTAGGTTGTCTGTTTACTCCACTGAACATTTCTTTTGCTGTGCAGAAGATTTTACTTTAAGTAAGTTCCATTTATTTATTTTTGTTTTTGTTACATTTGTTTTTTGAGTCTTAGCTGTGAATTATTTTCCTAAGCCAATGTCTAAAAGAGTTTTTATGGTGTTCTAGAATTTTTATAGTTTTAGGTTTTAGATTTAAGTCTTTTAACAGTCTTGAATTGATTTTTTTATAAGGTGAGAGATGAGGATACAGTTTCATTCTTCTACATTGGCTTGCCAGGTTTCCCAGCACCATTTATTGAAAAGGATATCCTTTCCCCATTTTATGTTTTTGTTTGCTTTGTTCAGGATAAGTTGGCTGTTAGTATTTGGCTTTATTCATGGGTTCTCTATTTTATTCCATTGGTCTACATGCCTATTTTTATACAAGTACCATGCTCCATGCTGTTTTGGCAACAATAGCCTTATAAGATAGTTTGAAGTCAGGTAATGTGATGCCTCCAGATTTGTTCTTTTTGTTCAGTATTGTTTTGGCTATGTGGGCTCTTTTTTGTTCCCATATGAATTTTAGGATTTTTTTTTTCTAGTTCTGTGAAGAATGATGATGGTAGTTTATTGGGAATTGCATGGAATCTGTAGATTGCTTTGGGCAGTATGGTCATTTTCACAGTATTGATCATACCCATCCATGAGCATGAGATGTGTAAGCTATTTTGTATTGCAGTCAGCCAGTAAAAAGGATAAACTATAATAATGTAAAAGTACAATATATTTCTGTTAGAATATAGCAAATGGATTTAAAATTATCCAAACTCATTATACTGACACTCTTTTCAAATTATAAAGTGATTATTCACAATAGCAAAGACATAGAATCAATCTAAATGTCCACCAGTGGTAGACTAGATGAAGAAAATGTGGTATGTATACACCACGGAACACTATGCAACTATTAAAAAAAAGAGAGAGATTATGTCCTTTGCAAGAACATAGATGGAATTGGAGGCCATTATCCCTAGCAAACTAACACAGGAACAGAAAACCATATACCACATGTTCTCACTTGTAAGTGGGAGAAAAATGATGATGACACATGGACACATAGAGGGGAACAACAGTCACTGGGCTCATCAGAGCATGGGGGGTTAAGGAGGGAGAGGATCAAGGAAAAACAAATGAAAACTAGGCTTAATACCTGGGTAATGAAATAATCCGTACAACCAACCTGCAAGACACAAGTTTACCTATATAACAAACCTGCACATGTACCCCTAAATTTAAAAAGAAAGTTAAGAAAGTTATAAAGTGTTGTGTTAGAAGTAAAAAAAGTATAAATTTTAAACGTATTGAAAAGATTATTATCCAAAGTGGCAAGAGAAATATAAAAGCATAAGTAAAAAGCCATTAACATGCAGAGGAAACATAAAATATTTAAAACTATACAGCTTCATAAGTCAAGAGGTTTTATAATTCCAGAATACTTATTTCTTTCTCAGATGAAATGATAATATAGATATACCTGTATCTGTATATTTATGTATATGTATATACAATACAGCACTCCCTCCCTTATCCATGGTTTTAATTTCTACAGTTTCAGCTAACCACAGTCAACCACAATCTGAAAATATTAAACAAAAACTTTCAGAAAATAATCATAAGTGATAGATTGTGGCAATTCTGAGTAGTGCGATGAAATCTGTGCCATTAGTCACTTGGTAGCCATCTTGGTTATCAGATTCACTGTTCCAGTATCATGGTGCTTATGTTCAAGAAACCCTTATTTTACTTAATAATGGCCCTAAAGTACAAGAATAGTAATGATGGAATATTGTTACAATTAGTTTATTTTATTACTACTTATTTTCGTTAATCTCTTACAGTGCCTAATTAGTAACTTTTACTTTATAGTAGGTAGGCATGTATAGGAAAATCAGTATATACAGGCATACTTTAGAGCTATTACAGATTCAGTTCCAGATCACGGTAATAAAGTCAATATCACCATAAAGTGAGTCACACACATTGTTTTGGTTTCCCAGTGAGTAAAAAAGTTATTTTTACACTATACTTCTGTCTATTAAATATGAAGTAGCATTACCTCTTTAAAGAGACAATGTACATACCTTGATGAAAAACTATGTTACTGAATAATGCAAGTCAGCAAGATGGCTGACTAGAGACTCCTGGTACTCATCACTCCCACAAGAAAGAACCAAGGCAAATAGTAAACAACTAAGATTTGACTGGTGTGTCAAAGAGAGAGTGCTGAAATACAGCAGGGGTATAAAGATGTACCTGTAGTGATTAGAAGCCAGGAAGACAGCACTGAGGCACCAAACCTCTGCAGCCCTTTCTCTTCCACAGGGATTGGATGGATCATCCCAGAGACAGGAGGGACTTTTGTGTTCATTTGTTTTTGAAGACATGGTCTTTCTCTTTTGCCTAGGCTGGAGTGCAGTGGTGTGATCATGGTTCACAGCAACCTCAAATTCTGGGGCTCAAGTAATCTTCCCACTTCGGTCTCCCCAGTAGCAGGGACTAGAGACATGAACCACAATGCCTGGCTTTTTTTTTTTTTTTTTTAACATTTTATGTAGAGATAGAGTCTCCTTATGTTCCTCAGGCTGGTCTGGAACTCCTGGGCTCAAGCAATTCTCCTACCTCAGCTTCCCAAAGTGCTGGGTATATACCAAGTGCTGGGCATTATATACCATGCCCAACCAAGTTGGAAATTTTGGAGGTAATCAGAAGATCTCCAACAGCCCCCGTTGCCACTGTAAACACCTACGGGCCTTACTACAGGGAAGTTTTAGTCTTCCCAAGCCCCAAATCCACTTTGGAGATCTATTGGAAATTCACACAGCTGTATTGCCCCAGATTAGGAGAACGAGATGTGCACCACACCATAACTCCAACCCATGCCTTGTGAGCCAACCCCAAACCCAGTTTGGACATCTACTGAGAATTCACACAGCTGTATTGTCCCAGATTAGGAGAAGAAGATATGCACCACACCATACTCCCAACCCATGCCCTGTGAGCCAACCTGCTGCAACACAACACCATTTTGAGATCAAAGCCTGCTCTGGAAAGAAGCCTTCTCTGAGGTGCAGTAGTCACTGCACCTCTCCAGCTCTGAAGTTCCATCTTCATTATGTCAAACCCACACGGAGTTTGGGTCCAGGATTGACTCTGTGACTCTAGTCCTATACAGCAAGAAAACCAACCCCCATCACTGTACTTCCAGCTAGAGAAAAATGTGCTAGTCCCAGCCAGGGCAAATCCACTCTTGAGCCAGCCAAACTGTTCACATGCCATTCCCCAAGCTGGAGAGGCCCCTGAAACCCCCAAACAGTTAATATATCCCTGGGCCAGTGGAATAGCTACCAGCACCCCTGCTCAGGACCTGAGAAACAGCCATGCAGCACTCCTGCCCCCCACATACATGCCCTTGCTTGGCCAAAGGCCCTGCACCCCCAATAAGGCCCTGGAAAACTGTCTTATAGTCTGCCTCTGTGGGGTATGCCCCCCAGTCCAGCCAAGCAACTGTGCTGCCCTAACACAGGCCTGTGAAACACTTCTGTGCCCAGATTTACGGCACACCATAAAGTGAACAAATATTTGTATTATGGATATTCCAGAAGATGAACAGAAGGAAAAAGGTGAAGAAAACATAGCTAATAAGATAATAGCAGACAAATTCCCAAATCTTGGATGTGAGATGAATATGCAGGTCCAGGAAGGTCAAATAAACCTGAATAGATTCTATTCAAATAGGTCTTTTCTGAGGCACATTATAGTGTCAAATTAATTGTCAAAAATTAAAAACAAAGAAAGAATTTTGACAGCATCAGGAGAAAAGCCTCAAGTCACATGAAAGAAAACCCCCATTAGACTAACAGGGGATTACTCAAGCAGAAACCTTACAGACCAGGAAATATGGGATGGTATCTTCAAAGTACTAAAAGAAAAAAAAAAAAGCTATCACCCCAAGAATATTATCCACAGCAAAGCTAGTCTTCAGAAATGATGGATAAATAAAACCTTCCACAAACAAGCAAAAACTAAAGGAATTTATCGGCATTAGACCAGCTTTAAAAACAATGCTCTGCCAGGCGCGGTGGCTCACGCCTGTAATCCCAGCACTTTGGGAGGTCCAGGCGGGCAGATCACGAGGTCAAGAGATCAAGACCATCTGGCCAACATGGTGAAACCCCGTCTCTACTAAATATACAAAAATTAGCTGGGCATGGTGGTGCATGCCTGTAGTCCCAGCTACTCGGGAGGCTGAGGCAGGAGAATCGCTTGAACCTGGGAGGCAGAGGTTGCAGTGAGCCCAGATTGTGCCACTGCACTCCAGCCTGGCAACAGAGCAAGACTCCAAAAAAAAAAAAAAAGATGCCCAAGAAAGTCTTACATATGGAAATGAAAAGAAGATTGCCACCATCATGACAACATGTGATATTACAAAACTTACTGGTAGAGCCAATACACAAAGAAAGAGAAAATAATCAAATCAAATCACTACACAACCACCCAACCACAAAAATAAGCAATAAGATTGAAAGTGAGGAATAAAGGATATACATAACAAATAGAAAACAATCAGTAAAATCCCTGATGACTCACAAGGTGGTGGTTGCTGAAAGTTGGGGAGGCTGTGGCAATTACTTAAAATGAGAAATCAATAAAGTTTGCCACATTGGTTGACTCTTTGTTTCACAAAATATTTATCTGTATCATGCAAAATGTGGTCTGACAGCATTTTATTCATAGTAGAGCTTCTTTCAAAATTGGAACCAATCAGCCAGGCATGGTGGCTCATGCCTGTAATCCCAGCACTTTGGGAGGCTGAAGTGAGTGCATCATGAGATCAGGAGATTGGGACCATTCTGGCTAACACGATGAAAACCGTCTCTACTAAAAACACAAAAAACTAGACGGGCATGGTGGTGGGTGCCTGTAGTCCCAGCTACTTGGGAGGCTGAGGCAGGGGAATGGCATGAACCTGGGAGGTGGAGCTTGCAGTGAGCTGAGATTGCAC
The DNA here is from genome assembly GCF_000001405.40 of Homo sapiens. Classification (NCBI taxonomy): domain Eukaryota; kingdom Metazoa; phylum Chordata; class Mammalia; order Primates; family Hominidae; genus Homo; species Homo sapiens. The sequence continues at coordinate 56,243,660 of NC_000011.10, forward strand.
CACTGCACCCCAGCCTGGGTGACAGAGCAAGACACAGTCTCAAAAAAAAAAAAAAAAAAGTTGTAACACCAATCCTCTTAAACCCTGCCACTGCTTTATTACTTACTAATATGCTTTGGTTGTGTCCCCACCCAAATCTCATCTTGAATTGTGCCACCCATAATCCCCACACGTCATGGGAGGGACATGGTGGGAGGTAATTGAATCATGGGGGTGGGTTTTTCCCTTGCTGTTCTGGTAATAGTGAATAAGTCTCATGAAATCTGATGGTTTTATAAAGGGCAGTTCCCCTGCACACTCTCTTGCCTGCAGTCATATAAGATGTGGCTTTGCTTCTCCTTCAACTTCCACTACAATTGTGAGGCCTCCGCAACAAGTCCATTGAACCTCCTTTTTTTATTAATTACCCAGTCTCAGGTATTTCTTCATAGCGGTATAAAAATGGGCTAATACACTAACTTCATTTAATATTCTAAATTATTTGTCATTCTAATGATGTTAACAGCATCCTCACCAGCAGTAGATGTCATCTTGGAAAATTCTTTATTTGCTCGTCCATAAGAAGCAATTTCTCATCTGTTCAAGGTTGGTTACGAAATTGCAGCAATTCAGTCACCCTCAGGCTCTACTTCCAGTTTTAGTTCTCTGCCTTTTTCCAGCATATCTGCAGTTACTTCCTCCACTAGAGTTGTGAACCCCTCAAAGTCATTCACGAGGATTAGGATCAACTTCTTCCAAACTCCAATTAATATTTATAATTCGACCTCCTCCCATGAATCAAAAATATTCTTAATAGCATCTAGAATGTTGAATATTTTCCAGAAGGCTTTCAATTTATTGTAACAAGATCCATCAAAGGAATCACTATCTAAGGTAGCTATAACATTACAAAATGTATTTCTTAAAAAATAAGACTTAAGGCCAGGAGTGATGGCTGATGCCTGTAATCCTAGCACTTTGGGAGTCTGAGTCAGGTGGATCACAAGGTCAGGAGTTCAAGACCAGCCTGGTCAATATGATGAAACCCCATCTCTACCAAAAATACAAAAATTAGCCGGGCATGGTGGTGCATGCCTGTAATCCCAGCTACTTGGGAGGCTGAGGCAGGAGAACTACTTGAACCCAGAAGGCGGAGGTTGCAGTGGGCCAAGATTGTGCCATTGCACTCCAGCCTGAGAGACACAGCGTGACTCCATCCCAAAATAAATGAATAAGTAGGTAAGACTTGAAGGCCAGGTGCAGTGGCTAACACTTGTAATCCCAGCACTTTGGGAGGCCTAAGTCGGGGGATCACCTGAGGTTGGGAGTTTGAGACCAGCCTGGTGAACAGGGTGAAACCTCATCTCTACTAAAAATACAAAAAAAAAAAAAAATTAACAGGAAATGGTGTCTGGTGCCTGTAATCCCAGCTACTCAGGAGGCTGAGGCAGAAGAATCACCTGAACCCAGGAGGTGGAGGTTGCAGTAAGCCAAGAGAGCATGTCACTTCACTCCTGCCTGAGCAACAGAGCTAGACTGTCTCAAAAAAAAAATAAATAAAAAATAAGACTTGAAATTTGAAATCACTCCTTGGTCCATGGGCTGTAAAATGGATGTCGTATTAGCAGTCATGAAAGCAACATTAATCTCCTTGTACATCTCCATCAGAACTTTAGGTGACAAGATGCATTGTCAATGAGTAGTAGTATTTTGAAAGGAATCATTTTACCTGAGTAGTAGGTCTCAACAGTGGACTTAAAATATTTAGTAAACCATGCTGTCAACAGATATTCTATCATCCAGGCTTTGTTATTCTACTTATAGAGCACAGGCAGAGTACACCGTATCTGTACACTTATTAAGGGCCCTGGGATATTTGGAATGGTAAATGATCACTGGCTTCACCTTAAAGTCACCAGCTACATTAGCCCCTAACAAAACCATCACTCTGTTCTTTCAACGAAGCTCTGAAGCCAGGCATTAACTCCTCTTGTATAGCCATGAAAGTCCCAGATGGCATCTTCTTTCATTAGAATGTTGTTTTGTCTACACTAAAAATCTGTTGTTTAATATAGCCACCTTCATCAATGATCTTAGCTAGATCTTCTGTATAATATATTGCAGCTTCTACATTAAAACTTGCTGGTTCACCTTGCACTTTTTTTTTTTTTTTTTTTTTTTTTTTGACAGAGTCTCACTCTGTTGTCAGGCTGGAGTGCAATGGTGAGATCTTGGCTCACTGCAACCCCCACCTGCTGGGTTCAAGGGATTCATTCTCCTGCATCAGCCTCAAGTAGCTGGGACTACAGGCGTGTGCCACCACACCCACCTAATTTTTGTATTTTTAGTAGAGATGGGGTTTCACCATGTTGGCCAGGGTGGTCTGGATGTCTTGACCTCATGATCTGCCTGCCTCAGCCTCCCAAAGTGCTGGGATTACAGGTGTGAGCCACCACGCCTGGCCCACCTTGTACTCTTTATGGTGATAACTTCTGCCCTTAAACCTCATGAACCCTCATCAACCCTTTCTGATTGAAACCTCATCAACCCTGCTAGCTTTCAACTTTTCTTCTGCAGCTTCCCTACCCTCTCAGTTTTCACAGAGTTGAAGACAGTTAGGACCGTGGTCTAGATTAGGCTTTGGTTTAAGCTAATGTTGCAGCTGGTTTCATCTTCTATCCAGACAACTAATATTTCCTCCATATCAGTAGTTAGGCTATTTCACTTTATCATTTATATGTTCACTGGAGTAGCACTTTTAATATTCTTCAAGAACTTTTCCTTTGTATTCACCACTTGACTAATTACTTATCACAAGAAGCCTAGCTGTTGGCCCATCTTGGTTTTTGACATGCCTTCCTCACTAAGCTCAATTATTTCTAGTTTGATTTAAAATTAAACACATGTGACTCTTACTTTCACTTGAACACTTGGCCGTTATTGTAGCATTATTAATTGGCTTAATTGCAATATTGTTGTGGCTCAGGAAACAGTGAGGCCCAAAGTCAGGGAGAGAAGCTGAGGAACAGCAGGTCTGTGGAGCAGTCAGAAAACACACAACATTTATCAATTAAGCTTGCCATCCTATATGGGCACAGTTCATGGTGCCCCAAAACATCTAAAATATTAATCGAAGGTTACTGATCACAAATTACCATACATAAATAAAGTTTTAACTATCACGAGAATTATCAAAATGTGACATGGAGACACAAAGCAGGTATACATTGTTGGAAAAATGGTGCCAATAAACCTTCAATTGCCAAAAAAGAATAAAACCCCACAATATCTGCAAAGATCAATAAAACAAATGAAATAAGCTATGCTTGTATAAGGCTTGTATCTGAAGTTTTTTTTGTTTTGTTTTGTTTTTTTTTTGAGACAGAGTCTCGCTCTTTCACTCAGGCCAGACTGCAGTGGCTCTATCTCGGCTCACTGCAAGCTCCGCCTCCAGGGTTCACGCCATTCTCCTGCCTCAGCCTCCTGAGTAGCTGGGACTACAGGCGCCAGCCAGCGCGCCCGGCTAATTTATTATATTTTTAGTAGAGACGGGGTTTCACCGTGTTAGCCAAGATGGTCTCGATCTCCTGACCTCATGATCCGCCCGCCTCGGCCTCCCAAAGTGCTGAGATTACAGGCGTGAGCCACCGCGCCCGGCCTGGTACTATCTATCTGAAGTTTTAGGCATCCATTGGAGGTCTTGGAATACATCCCCCATGGATCAAGGGGTACTACTATATCATATGTTTATATATATGTGTATTTATGTATATACACAGCCCTACACATATGAGGTATGTATATACATAAATGTGTGCATATACATATATACACACATATATATGCATGTGTGTAGAGATATATATATACACATACATAGTTACATACACATAAATATATACAAAACACACATACACATGCCTAGAATCTACATAGAGAAATTTAGTAGAAAAAGGAGGTATAATAAAGTTATTACATTTCTTTAATTCTCCAGATGTTCTTGAAGAGCAACTGGATTAGAAACCGTAGATCTAGTGAATGGTTTATTTTTTAGGTAAGCATATTGAGTCCGGAATAGGGAAATAATTTTCATAATTATTCATGCATTTATATATTTAAAATTTATTTTTGGCCTATTTTGGGGAGAAACAGAAAACTTCTATCAGGGACTGTAAACACCATGAAGACAAGCAAAGACACAGAAAGGGATGAAATATGACATTGTTGCAAGCTTTGGATATATTTTAGAGAGGGTCTAGACTGTAACTTTATGATGTGGGGATATCAGAAACAATATCTGATGAAGTGATGTAAAATGACACTGAGAATTATTTTCAGCGAGCCACTTTTAAAGATGAGCAGACAACGAAGATTGTCTTTATTATGTCAGAAATCAATTGACCATATATATGTGAATCTGGTTCTCAACACTTTATTCCATTTTATTAATTGAAGTGTATTTTTTTACCCAATATTTCACTATCTTGGTTATTTTAGCTTTGTGGTAAGTCCTAAACTCAGTCCCATTCACAGATTGTGTAAACATTCCAAATTTATTCTTCGTTTTCAAAACTGTTTCGACTCCGTTTTTTTTTAATTTTGCATATAAATTGTGGAATCAATTTCTCAATTTGTACAAAAAATTCTTAATTTTAACTAGAATTGCATCGAATCTATAAATCAGTTTGGGATTTTAATTAATAGATAGTTCACAGTTAGGCTGCCTTCCAGTATCAACTTTCTTTTCTTTATATTTTACATACAGATTTCAGAAACCAATATTTCCTATCTACCAATATACAATCTCTGGGTATGGAACCTAGCTAGACATTTATGTATTTTCCATAATTTCCCCAAGACTTACTTATGTACATAGCTGGGTAGTAGCTTATACATTAGTATGTAGAATCCCCAAGACAAGACTAAATTCAACGCAAAAAGTTTGACCTTTATCTCTGCCAGAGGTCTTATATTCTAAGGTCCTATTATATAGAACATTATTATCTGTACACTATTCCATCTCTCCTGTCAATATTTCCTATTCATGTATTCATCTTTATCTCTTCTCAAGGGATAGAACACTCAAGGTGTCTAAATCTGCTTCTCATACAACTTAGAATTATAGCACTTTAAAGTCAAAAAAGTAAACTTTATTAAAGACTGTAAATCCTGTCATGAGTTGCGCTTCCATATTATTTTATTACATGTCTCCAGGATTTCCAGAGAATGTGCATGGTATATTCCCAGAAAAAGGAAACTGGAAATCAGAGAATTTCTCATCTTACTGGCATCAGAGCTGGGACTATGTCTTGTATCATTAGGATTCTTTTCCACCGAGGGATCACTTTTTTTTTTTTTTTTTTTTAGCCAGAAGCCAAGGTTCTTTCAGGTAATCATTTTCATCATGTAGTTCATTACTCCAGAAACATTCACTTGCTTACTATTTTAAAAGTATTCTTGATACATTTCTGTCCCAGAAAAGAATTAGTGTGTGTTTTCAATGGGCCATCCCTGAGGACTTGAAGAGCTTGAGAAGCCGGTATAAGAATCCACATGTATAATATTTATCATGTATCTAATTTAGCGAGCAGCTTATTTCCACAGGTAGGAGGAAAACCTCTTTATTACATATAACACATTATAGAAGCTATATTATATTTGAAAATATATGCTTTAATATTTAAATATAAAAGGATTCTATTAATCTCAAAAATTTTACCACAAATTAAATCATATGCCTTCTAGGATATATACCACAGAAAATATAAAGGACTTCCTACATATTTTCATGAATAGAGCCATAAATTAGAAATTTGTTTTATTTTTTTTCTGATGAATAGTCAAAATAGGGGCAGCAGGATTAAGGGACAATGTTTCATATTTAGAAAAATTATTAGATACAGAGAAAATTAACTTTCAACTAGCTTTTGGGTATATTTCATTTTGGGTTCAATTTATTTTATTTTCTGATATAGGAATACCAGAAAAGTTAAGTTTATTGTAAAAGTTAGGTAATTGACTAAGAAGCAAGTTTAGTTATTATTTTAAATTTTCATATTCTATTTAAGCTTAATATCTTTAAATAATTTAATAACACAAAAATTCTATTTTACATAGTTTCTAGGACATAACATTTCTAAAACTATGGCAGGTTACATCAGGGTTGCACTGTGGTTCTATTAAAATATTGATTTTGTAAATTCCTGTTTATATTATTATATAAATAAAAATTTTAAGTCATATATGTATGCATTATTCACATGTAATTAAAAAATTATTTATTAAAATTGATCTTAATGCATCTCATAAAAAAGAACTGTGCAATCACCTCATGTTTATGCAGTTGAATGAGGTATATGTGAAAGTTTCATCCAATCTTACTTATCCTTTAGTTTGGAAGGAGAAGTAATTTTTCCAAGCTTATGCTGCTAAACATGACATTTAAACATAGAGTTTTAGAGTCCAAATATAATTCCCAGTATTCTACAGTTGCCTTATTTCAGATATCTTAGGAAAATAAAGTCTGGAATTGTAATGTAGCTGACCTTTCTCCTCTATGTGGTGGTAAACATGTATTTTGTAATGGACTCCTTTGGTAGATTATTAGCACATTTTTCAAAATTCACTGGCATTTTTTTTTTGAATCGTGCTTCTTCTTATCTGGCTAATTCCTGTTTGTTCCTGACTCTTGTCAGTAAACGTTTGTATATATCCCATTGATTCTTCTAACACAGAAAGAAAGAGAGAGAAAGAGAGAGAAAGGAGAAAATATAGGAGAAAGAGAGGATAGGAATTTGTATAAGAGAACTATATTTTTTATGACTCAAAAATACATTAATTCATATTTAAAATATTTATTGATAACTTTATAAGCTATTTTATTCACATAACACAAACAAAATTACTTAATATATTTGTGTATGTGTGTGTTGTCATGAGTAATATGTAAGTAGTCTGGATTTACACAGAAAGTGGAATTTAACTGAATTATATCTTTTGCTGTAGAATTTTCTAAGAATCAAATGAGAATTTTTGTTTCGTTCTGTAGTCCCTCATTTATGAGGGTATTTATTTTGTATATTAAAAAAATCTTCCACATGGATCTGTTAGGACATTTCTATAATAATATATATAAACACTTGGCCTTTTTTTTTCTTTCTAAAAGTGGTTTTAGTCTTATTTGTTCATTCTCTTCTTAATGTGTGGTCATCTTAACATGACAAAATTTTGGTATGTCTCACATCATGAATATAAATCATTTGTAAGTCACTGAATTCAGAATGGACCTGCATATGACAGAGTTGTCACCCCTTTTAAAACTTTCATAATCTATGACATGATAAAAGAAAAACAAAGTCACCTTGCTTAAATCTCCCCTCTAATTTTACCTCTAAATTTAGTGTATGTAGTACTAAACCGTTTCAATAACAGGTTTTCAGTCTAGATACAGAAGTCCCTGTAACCTTGTTACCTTTTTTCTTTTAATTATTTATTTATTTTTGGTTGTGTAATTGTCTTTCTTCATACTTGTCAATGTGAAACAGAATGATACCATCAGGAAAGAAGTCCAGAGGACAAACACTACTTTCTTGCAAATATAGTAATGTTATTTTTTAGCCAGATATTCTATAATTTTTATTAGTTATTATTGGTGATTTTTATTTCATAGTAATTTTAGAAACTCTAAAAGCAACTATAATATACTAAAAGAATGGCCATGATTTATTTTTAACAGAAATATAAAATAAAATAAAATAAAATACATCCAAGGACTTTGCAAAAATAACAAACATATGAATTATTAGTAAGATATATCTCACATTGTTATTAAGTTGAAATTTAAAAACAGTTATGATAAACAAGGTACAGAGGCCAAAATTTGCCAACTAGGTGATATATATTTCAGGAAGAAAAAATCCTGAAAATAAAACACATTGTAATGTTTGTAAAGGTACGTCTATCTCCAGAATACAGTCTGCTCTTCTATGTAATGGAACAAGATAATTGCCAGAACAGAGGACATGAAATGGTTTTATTTAAAAAGGCTGCTGCATGCGACAAGTTGAAATGTATGTCTGACTTATCCCCATTTTCTAGTCATTTGGAAGCCTTTTAAATTAAATAGTTTTGATATTTTTAAACATTTAAATTCAACTGTGCTGTGAGTGTGGTTTCTCTTATTTTAAAATTGTGAACATTTACAAAAGACATTTCATGTACTTCATCACAAATCTAAAAGTGTACTCAAGTGTGTGCTTTCCACTATAACATATTTAGTTTTAAATATTTCTACATTCAGCAATCTTTGTGAGCTTTAGGACATAATATGAGAGGAAGCAGTAAAAATTTCAACTGAAAATTAACTGGAAAATAAAATCACTTTAATTAGCAGGGTTTTTTAAAAACATGATAAATTTAGCCAAGAAATTAATTACATATTTTTTTTCCTTTTACTTATACAGTGAAATTCATCTATTTGGCTCCAATTACTTCATCATTGTCTATTCCATTACTATCAGGGAAATTATTATGCCCCAAGAAAAAAACAAGGATACAATTGAATGGACTCCACTTTCACAGGCTATAACCTTTATAACCTGCAAGTAAAAACTGAAATGGACAAGTTGTCATCAGGTTTGGATATATACAGGAATCCACTGAAGAACAAGACTGAAGTCACCATGTTTATATTGACAGGCTTCACAGATGATTTTGAGCTGCAAGTCTTCCTATTTTTACTATTTTTTGCAATCTATCTCTTTACCTTGATAGGCAATTTAGGGCTGGTTGTGTTGGTCATTGAGGATTCCTGGCTCCACAACCCCATGTATTATTTTCTTAGTGTTTTATCATTCTTGGATGCTTGCTATTCTACAGTTGTCACTCCAAAAATGTTGGTCAATTTCCTGGCAAAAAATAAATCCATTTCATTTATCGGATGTGCAACACAGATGCTTCTTTTTGTTACTTTTGGAACTACAGAATGTTTTCTCTTGGCTGCAATGGCTTATGATCACTATGTAGCCATCTACAACCCTCTCCTGTATTCAGTGAGCATGTCACCCAGAGTCTATGTGCCACTCATCACTGCTTCCTACGTTGCTGGCATTTTACATGCTACTATACATATAGTGGCTACATTTAGCCTGTCCTTCTGTGGATCCAATGAAATTAGGCATGTCTTTTGTGATATGCCTCCTCTCCTTGCTATTTCTTGTTCTGACACTCACACAAACCAGCTTCTACTCTTCTACTTTGTGGGTTCTATTGAGATAGTCACTATCCTGATTGTCCTCATTTCCTGTGATTTCATTCTGTTGTCCATTCTGAAGATGCATTCTGCTAAGGGAAGGCAAAAGGCCTTCTCTACATGTGGCTCTCACCTAACTGGAGTGACAATTTATCATGGAACAATTCTCGTCAGTTATATGAGACCAAGTTCCAGCTATGCTTCAGACCATGACATCATAGTGTCAATATTTTACACAATTGTGATTCCCAAGTTGAATCCCATCATCTATAGTTTGAGGAACAAAGAAGTAAAAAAGGCAGTGAAGAAAATGTTGAAATTGGTTTACAAATGAAGAATATATTTAAAATTGAGTAAACCTGAAAAAAATGTTGAGTGTCAGAGTTCACATCTCTATATTTTAGTTAAAGTATTTGCATATCAAAGAATAGTTTCAAAAAAGCATTAAGCAGCCTGCCAATGCAGCATTTTTCAAATGTAAACAAATTGCATCACATATTTGCCAATTAATTTGTTCAGAGATCTATATTAAATATTATTTGATATAAATATATTGTTATTGTTACCAACCACACACTACTAACAACAGCTTTCACAGTAAGTAAAAATCAGTTACACACTTATAACTAGTAAGTGAATCCTACAGAATCCTGGGAATTGATAAATGCTTACATGGCTGATAAAAAGTTTTTGCATTCATTGTGGAGTTACTTCCTCAATCTATAAGCCCTAAGAAGAAATATCCAAATTTTACTTTACTTTCCCTAAATGTGCCTTCATAAACTGAGATCTACTCAAGCTTCCAAACATGCCTTTTGCTGTGTTTATATCTACATCATAAATTCTTTCCACAATTAAATGCTTTCCTTGCCCCTTTTCAACCACAGAAGCTGATTGTAGTCATTGTGAAACTATATTGGTTGTGAATGCTAATATTTATTGAGAGTGTTCTGAAGGCTCAGGAAACACTATACCCCAGGAATGAAACTATGACATATGTATAAATGACTGCTCTAAGGTCTGACAAACTAGCATATCCTTGCTCACTTCGTAGTCCTGCCATTATCTTCTATCTACTTTACCTGTAAGAAATGACTGCAATGTCATCCTTCCACAAAATTTACACCTAGTGAGCAAGCCCACAGAATGGAAATTATTTTGCTTTACCTCTACTCACATCTGGCTTTACTTTACGTATTCTGCTTTAGTAAGTTTTGTTAAAACATTTATTTGAAGATTCATTAAAAGTGGAAATTAATTGTTTTTTCAAAAAACACACACTTGTCCCTCCAAGGATATTTTTATGTGAATTAACCAGAATGATCCAATCATAACATAGTAGCCACACTGAAAATTTCAGACATCAGTTTCTAATCTTTACTAATCAATTATGCAAAGAGAACCCAACCCTCTTTTTTTGAATAAGCAAATGCTTGCAGTCAAAATCTGTACTAAATTTCCTCTTAAAAAAATAAATCTATTTTTAGATACAAAACCCTGATTACACTGTAGACAAAATTTTCTTAAAAAAATAAGCTATTTGAATTACAGAATCTTAAAATGTAGTTTCCTGTGTATGATCTTTTGGGGAGAATGTTCTGGAAGAAAATTTAATATGCTTCAAAAATGTGTCTAAATAAATAGCTGTCTCACAAAATTTAAAATTTCTGCAGAATTCCAGAATCATTTATTTTTTTGAGGGTTTTTCAAATTATGGTGTCAAAATTGTTAGGTAACGTTTTAGTCAAGGTTGCTATCTCTTTTTTTGTTTTGTTTCTCTTTCAAATTAGCAAAAATAGTCATTCTTTGAGAAAGGAATAGGCGAGCATTAGGTAAAATGATGCACTGACATATGCCTAAAAATATCTGGTTAACAATGCATTCAACAAACTCATTCAGAACTTGTCAAGTTAACCATCATGAAAAGTTCACTATCTCTCTTTTTATCCTAATCGATTAGAAAACAAATGGTGTGAATAAGCAGTCTCGAATGACCTGCTATTTGTTCAGGTCAAGGTGAGAAAAATGGTATATTTAACTCTCAAGTCAATAGAACATTTTGTTACATATCTCAGCTCAATTACCTTTCCCCCCAAAAGAATGATTTGACTCACTATGACCCCATGGAGCCTCTCTCACTTATCACAGTTGCCATTTAGCATGTGATGTTGTGATTTTATAATATATTATCCAGATCTACCATGATGCTGACATTGTAACTTGCATAAAAACATGCATTGGGCATATTTGTCCTCAAAATTGTATCCCTGAGTCCTAAAAGAGTACCTAGAACTTATGGTTTGCTGACAAAATATTTATTAAATAAATAGTGAGTACATGAATGAATTATATTTAATACTAATAATTAACATATGCTTATCAGGTACTGGACAATCATGTAAAAGTTTTTACTATATTAACTTATGTAATTCTCATAACTTCAGGAAGTGGTTGTAGTAATATCTTTTAACAAAGTTGAGGAAACAGCAGCACATAAATTTTAAGGAATTTGCTCAATGCCACATAGCTCTAAAGGGTGATGTCAGGATTCACATCTAAGCTGTCTGGTTACAGAGTTCCTGTTTTTAAGCTTGTTATACATGGAGTGAAAGAACAGATTTATCTTTTCACTTTACCAACTTTATTAGTTATCCTCCAGAGAGCATTATTGAGAATACTGAAGCTCCTCATTAAGTCTGTGGCAGAAATAAGAAGAAAAAGGAATGCATTTTAAAAGTACTGAAAATGTGGTTTCCACTGATTTGGCCATTCATTCCATTCATTGAGATGTAGAAGTTTCAAGAAATCAGTATGTCAAAGAGATATCCGTACTCTTATGTTTATGGCAGCATTATTTGCAGTAGCCAAGATATGGAATGAACCTAAATGCCCATCTACAAATGAATGCATAAAGAAAATGTCACACAAACACACACACACACACACACACACACAATGGAATACTACTGAGAAATAAAATAGAATGAAATCCTGCCATTAATGACAACATGGATGAATAAGTGAGTGAAATAAGCCAAGCACAGAAATACAAATACTGCACAATCTCACTTATATGTAGAATAATAATAATAATAATAATAATAAACAACTTGATTTTATAGAAGTAAAAAGTAAGTGAAAAGTGGTTATCAGAAGCTAAACAGGGTAGTGGAGACAAATTAAATGAGGTTGGTTGATTGATATAAAATAACAATTAAACAGGAAAAGTAAGTCCTGATGTTTTATTACACAGTAGGGTGACTGTGGCAGTAACAGTGTAGTATGTATTTTAAGATAGCTGGCAAAGAATATTTTAAATGTTATTCCACAAATAAATGATAAATGTTTAAAGTGATGGATATCCTAATTACCTTGATTTGACCATTTTACAATGTATACATGCATTGGAACATCACAGTGTACGCCATAAATAAATATATACCATTCTTTTCTGTCAATTATAAATTTTAAAATTAATTAAAAATAAAAGTTATTGGAAGTGAAATTTCATCTGGATTTGACAATTCATTTTATTTATTGAGACCTTTTGAATTTGCAAGTTTTGAGCCTATATGATAAAACAAGACAAATATAAAAAGTAAAAGTGAGAGAGAAAAAAAAGACAGAGAGAGACGAGACAGACAGAAAAAGGAGAAGGAAGGAAATAGGAAGGGGACACACTGGAGAGATGAATATTGTAGAAGTTGAGTGGTTAAGATCAGTTATATGTATACTGATTCTGAGGTTCCATTACATTTTTAATGCACAGAACTAAAACTCCAGAAGAATATTACAGTGGTGAGTGGAGAGTTATCCAGAAAAGAAACATTTGAAATCGCAGTATTGGGTGGGATTTTAAATGATATACAGAACCTCTACTTCCACACAGAATTTGGAAAGCAGCAAAGTAAATTCTTCTCATTCTAACAACTTAAAAAGCCAAGTAATCTTCAAAATTATAGCTTTTCATGAGTCTATCAGAGAACCAAGGTTCAAAACATCCAAGAAATCTGAATTCCAAAGAAGACCAAGTTACTTCAAATGTAGATGAGATGCCTGAGCATCTCTTTCTTTCACTGTGGGCACAGAGTATGAGATATATTTGTTCACCATACAGATAGGAAGAAATTACTGGCTATATACCCAAAAGATTATAAACCATTCTAGTATAAAGAGACATGCACACTTATGTTTATTGCAGCACTATTCACAATAGCAAAGACTTGGAACCAACCCAAATGCCCATCAATGATAGACTGGATAAAGAAAATGTAGCACATATACACCATGGAATACTATGCAGCCATAAAAAAAGGATGAGTTCATGTCCTTTGCAGGAACATGGATGAAGCCGGAAACCGTCATTCTCAGCAAATTAACACAGGAACAGAAAACCAAACACTGCATGTTCTCACTCGTAAGTGGGAGTTGAACAATGAGAACACATGGATACAGGGAGGGGAATATCACACACCAGGGCCTGTTGGGGGATGGGGTGCCAGGGGAGGGATAGCACTAGGAGAAATACCTAACGTAGATGATGGGTTGATGGGTGCAGCAAACCATCATGGCACGTGTATAACTATGTAATAAACCTCGTGTTCTGTGCATGTATCCCAGAAGTTAAAGTATAGTTTAAAAACAGAGGAAATCAGCTTAAAATTAAGTAATTTTAAAGGCCAAGTGAGAGTTATTGGGAAAAGCAGGAAGTCCTAGAATAAAGTTTGCATTCACTCCCAAGGTTTTCTCTGCAGGCCCCCAACAAGCATTTACAAAAAAAAAAAAAAAAAAAACAAATAAAATTAACGTCTTCAAATATCGTTATTCCTCGTTGTCTTTGAGTAAAGAGCATGAAAATTACTAGAATAAATGCTTTAGTGGAGAGGGTAAACACCATGCATGAATATGTGAGAAATATCAGAGATGGAAAATATATGGAAGTATTCAATAAAATTCTATAAATAAAAACTCATGCTCACAGTCACAATATCTGAGACAAAGAATTTCTTTCACAAGTTTATCAGTAGATTCAGTAACTTGAGAAAAGTATTAGTGAACTTAAAGATAAAGCAACATAAATTAACCAGAGAGAAAAGTTAAAGAAAAAATATGGAATTAAAAGTTATCAAAGAACTGTAGGGCAACATCAAACAGTCCAATATACATACAGTTAGTGTTTCAGAACAAGAATCAAGGGAGAATGGGTCAGAATAAACATTTGAAGACAAAATGGTCAAGAATTTTCTAAAAATAAGAGAACATAAAATCACAGGTACAAAATACTCAGGAGACCCAAGGAAGGATGTGTTAATCAGGGTTCTCCAGAGAAACAGAACCAACAGGATGTATGGGGGAGGAGGGGGATGAAGGATTCATTACAAGGAATTGGCTCATCTGATTTTGGGAGGCTGGCAATTTCAAATTCTACGGGGTGGGTCATTAGGCTGGAGATCCAGGATTATTGATAATCTACTCGGAACCCATGGGCAAAGTGCTGTAGAACCAGGAAGAGCTGGTGACGTAGACAAGATCTGAAGGCAGTCTGCTGGAGAATTAGCTCTTGCTCTGGAGAGGCTAGTTTTTTGCTCCATGCAAACCTTCATCTAATTGAGTAAGGCCAACCCACATTATGGAGGTCAATAGGCATTCCTCAAATGCCACCAATTTCAATGTTAATCTCTCCCAAAACATCCTTAGAGTAACAAACACATTAATGTCTGACCAAATGTAAGCACATCATAGCCCATTTAAGTTGACACATTAAAATTAATCAATATAAGTGTACCCCTTGTCAACCTGGCAGTCATATATATCCCCTTAAAACATACTTGATCTCCAAATGAAAACAAAAATAAGGTCAAACTTCTACCTAACATGATATTTCCATTCTTAATAAAATCAAAACTGTTCTCACCCTTTCCCCTAGAAGAGGATGAAAAGTCCTTAGATGATGTTTACTTTTTTTCCTTGATATTCCATACCTCAAGCACTATGCTGTAAAGTGGACTATATTTAAACAATGTGATGGAAAGCCAATGCACTCTATGCAGTAGTCCATTTTTTGCCTCTAAAACAGAATACCTGAGACTGGGTCATTTATAAAGGATAAAAATTTGTTTTCCCACATTTCTGGAGACTGAGAAGTCCAAGATTAAGGTGGCAGCATTTACTGTCTGGTGAGACCCTTCTTGCTGCATCCTCACATGGCAGAAGGTGGACAGGAAAGGGAGCAAGCTAGCCAACTGCTGAACGAAGCCTTTCATATAAGCCTTAATTTCATTAACAAAGAATGAGTTGTAAGGACAGCCTAATCACCTCTTAAAGGTCTCACTTCTTGATGCTACCAAATTGGCAACACCTGAATTTTGGAGGAGACACATTTAAAATATAATATTTTGCCCCAGGACTCCAAAATTTATGTCCTTCTCACATAAAAAATACATTTGTTCCATCTGAATAGCACCCCAAAATCCTAACTCATTCCAAAAGCAATTCAAAATTTAAAAATCTAGAGTTTTATTTAAATCTGCTCATGTATGGGAAGAGTCAATATTGTAAAACTGACCATACTGTCACAGGTTACTTGGGGTGTTGGTTTGCCAGCTTGAAACCTCTGTGGCCTTATGCCTGAGTATTGCTCACACCCGCTGGACTCATTTTATTAACTCTGCCTGGCAGTCCGCCCTTGGCCTGAGCTCCTGGCCCAGGACCCACATCTGCCAAGGGCAAGCCAGGTGCAGAGTGGCAAGGAGTATAGGAGCAAGTGGGAATAAGGTCCAGCCACTCCACACAGCCAGGCACACTGGCTGCTGCAGCTGAGCAGGCAGCTCCAGGTGCAAGCACAGGTCCTGGCTCTGTGCGAGGCTGTGGCTGGATCAGATGTATCACAAGCAGCTTCCACTGTGGGTACCTGCATCTGAACAGGGGGAGTGTGGTGGTGTCTGAAAGCTTGGAAATGTCAGAAACCATAGAGCCCCAAAGAGGACGTTATAGCCCTGGCCTGGGGAGACACTAGGTCTGGGCTCCCCAAAGGGCTGCAGCTCCTCCTCTAAATCATTGCCTGCAATGTGGTGGTTGGGGGGATGGGGGGTAGCAGGGGGCATGTTTCTGCCCTGTTTGTGTTACAGCTCTTTCAGTCCCATCATTTGGTGGTCCCAAGTTCTTGTCCCACATCCAGGAAGAATGAGGCACATTGACAACTGGAGGGTGAACAAGGCAGAGAAGAGCTTCATTGAGCAACAGAATAGCTCTAAGGAGACCTGCAGTGGGTAGCTTCTTTCCAAAGGCAGGTCATCCTGACAAGTGTCCAGCTCTCAGTGGAGACGAGACCCATAGTTGTTAGCTCCTTTCCATAGGCAAGTCGTCCTAGTGAGTCAAGGAGACCCAAAGTTGGTAGCTCCTTCCTGCAGCTGGTAGTTGGATTTCTGTCCAAGTCTGGCTGAGTCCAGGGTTTTCATGGGCTCAGAAAGAAGAAAGTGCATGCTGATTGGCCCATGGGTGGCCATGGAAGGACCCAGAAAAAGCAATATAAGTTCTCACTCCAGGCCATAGACTCCACCCAGAACTGGCAGCCCAGGCCCCTAGGCTTCAGGCCATCCCTGGCTTGAAGGTGGGTGGAGACATGCCTCTTTCTGCCCAGGAATTTGTCTGTCTCTCACCATCCAAGGCACCCAGGCTGTTTGTGCCAAGGAGTTCCTGCAGGCCAATGGCAACCCACCCTCAGCACCCCCCACAGCCTCCCTCCCATGCTCATTGGTGCCCAAAGTCCACAGGATGCCAAGGCAGCAGGGGGCTGGTGTGCTAGTTTGCACACACCTACCTGGGTTGCAATAGTGCCCAGGCTTGACCACAACGTTGCTATTCCTTGGAGTGGGAGCCAGGAGTTAGGAGAGGTGGGTAGCAAGAGCAGGCACTTTAAAGCCTGTAGGGGCAGGGGGTCTCCTGGGCACCCAAGCACAGGAATGCCCAGGTCTGGAGCCACAGCTGGGTGGCTGCAGCTGTGCCTGGGAATACAGGGTTCCCACCCTGCCAACTTGTTACGGGGCAGGGCTCCTGCCTGTTCCTGGCCCACTCTGGCTCTGTGGAGCACAAAGCCCCAGCTGCCTCCCCTGCTGCAGCCGTTGTCTTTGCAGCGGCTACTCCATATGGACTGCCGTTGCCATCAATACTGCCCAAAGCAATATACAGATTCAATGCAATTTCTGTCAAAATGTCAACTTTTTCACAGAATTAGGAAAAACAATCCCAAAATTCATATGGAACCTAAAAACAACCCAGCTAGCCAAAGCAATCCTGAGCAGAAAGAACTAATCTGAAGGCAACACATTACTGAACTTAATATTATACTATAAGGCTATAATAACAAAAACAGTGTGTACTGGTACATACAAAAAAAGTATGTATCCATTCTTATGAATGGATATGTAGACAGATGGAACACAGAGAACCCAGAAATAAAGGCAAATACTTACAACCAAGGCTATAGTAACAAAAAAAGCATGTACTGGTATAAGAATAGATACATAGACAGATGGAACACAGAGAACCCAGAAATAAAGGCAAATATTTACAAGCAAAACTATAGTTAACAAAAAAAGCATGTACTGGTATAAAAATAGATACATAGACATATGGAACACAGAAACCCCAGAAATAAAGGCAAGTACTTAAAACCAACTGATCTTTAAGAACGCATACAAAAATGTAAACTGAGCACAAGACACCCTATTTAATAAATGGTGCTGGGAAAACTGGATATCCACATGTAAAAGAATGAAACTGGATTCCTATATCTCACCATATACAAAAATCAACCTAAGATGGATTAAAGATTTAAATCTAAGACCTGAAACCATAAAACTTTTAGAAGAAAACCTAGAAAAATCTCTTTCGGGCATTGGCCTAGGCAAATAATTTATGATTGGGATCCCAAAATCAAATGCAACAAAAACAAAAATAAATAAATGGGACCTAATTAAGCTGAAACGCTTCTGCACAGCAAAAGAAATAATCAACAGAGTAAACAGACAACCCACAGAATGGGAGAAAATATTTGCAAACTATGCATCCAACAAAGGACTAATATCCAAAATCTACAAGGGATACAAATCAGTAAGAATAAAAACAAATAATACTACCAAAAAGTAGGCAAATGACATGAATAGACATTTCTCAAAAGAAGATATGCAAATGGCCAACAAACATATGAAAAACTGCTTAACATCAATAATTATCTGCTAAATGCAAATCGAAACCCCCATGAGAGATCACCTTACCCCAGCCAGAATGGCCATTATTAAAAAGTCAAAAAACAATAGGTGTTGGTGTGGATGTGGTGAAAGGGAATGCTTATACACCACTGGTGAGAATGTAAATTAGTTCTATGTCTATGGAAATCAGTATGGAGATTACTCAAAGAACCAAAGTTTATTTTGGTGAGCAATGTATCTTTTGGACTTTTCCAGTTTGGGTTGGTAGATGTTAACAGGCAAATTCACTTCAACTTTTCAATATCTTTAACCCTTTAAATCCATGTTTCTACAGAAAAATAAAAGCAGGGACTTCACATTTAACTCACTGTGGGCTACCTTTTGGTCCATGTTTTAGCCAAACAAAAAATGTGTTAGAGTCTTTTCTCACTCTTTGAGCTGCAACATTAAATGCACTATCTCTGCTTACTGGATTTGTATCAAAAAATTTGGTCTCATCCAGTATTATATTCCTTTCATCATTATCTTACATCCTTAATATCCATTTCCAAACATATTCTCTGAATTTCAGCCTGTATATGTTAGGAAACTCAAATACTTCTTTTAGAGTATAGCACACCTCTACATAGTTTACACTTTGTCCCTCACCTATAGGACCCTGTTGGCATGATCATTGCTCTCTGCAGCCTCAACCTCCCAGGCTCAAGTGATCCTCCCATCTCAGACCTCTTAAGTAGGTGGGAACATAGGCATTTGCCACCACGCTATTTTTATTTCTTTGTATATATATATGGGTTCTCACTATATTGCATAGGTTAGTCTTGAACTCCTGGACTCAAGTGATCCTCCCACCTTGGCCTCCCAAAGTGATGAGATTACGGGTGTGAGCCACCACATCCAGCCTCATTAGTGTCTTTAAAACTAATCATATTAGACAGCCAATTCCAGAAATACCAGAGCTACTAATTGTAAAGGTTAGCAAGTCCAACATTTGTAGGGTGAGTTGGCAGGCAGGAGACCCAGAAGGGCTACTGTTTCAGTCTGAGTCCATAAGCAGTCTTCCATAGAACCAGGAAGAGTCAATGTGGTTGATGATGTCTGAGACAGTCTTTTGAAGAATACTCTTTTCTTCGTGAGAGGGTGGTCATTTTATGCCAATCGACCAATTAGATGAAGCTCACCGAAATGATGGAGGGCAATCTGCTTTATTCCAATTCCACAGATTGGAGCCATGTATGATGTTAGGCCTTCTCTACAAAGGTTTTTCCTCTTTAAAATATAAATGTATTTGAATAACCACGCAGCACAATGATGTGCAGACAGGCAGACTAAACAATTGTTCAAAACATAAATATATGAAGGAACTTCCTTTAATATATCAATTTGTTATATTTAATATTACAACATTATTGAATTTTTGTCATCATATATATACATTTTAAATACTGGTAAAAATTAGGTCGCAAAATTAATATTATAACTAAATCATTGAAAAATATGTGACAAGAGCCTTGAACCAGATCCTTTATTTTTTGTTATATTTAATAAATTTGTTTTTTAAATTATTAATACATACTCAAATATTCTATCAGGATTAAATTTAAATATTCTAAATTTAGTATCTTGATTGTGATTTTCTTCTGTCTACTCTTTATGACTTTGAAGTATTTTTTAGTCAAGTAAAAGATGTTTCAGAAATTATGTGATCTGTTAATACCCAAAATTACCACAATTATATTACCACAATACTATTTGTTACATCATAGTGGGCTTAATATTACTTTAAATAAATGATATAGAGAAAAGCTATGATGTTAAGCACTTCAGCTAAATTTGTCTTTAAACCAGCATTTTTACTAGATGCCAAAAGATGAGTTTTCCTGGTTTAGCCTAAGTCAATATTAGCATATATAGAAAAGATTGAGAGTTATAAAGAGTAAATGACTATGATTCTGGAAGAAATTAATAATATACGATCAGCTTTGAAAATTAATATAAAGCCACATCTATAAATACAAATTTAGTAGAAGACATAACTCTCCAAATATCTTGAGTTTGACATTGAAACACTAAATTTGCAAAGGAGGAGAGAAATAATAGCCATTTATTGAGCACTTGCTATAGAAATAGACTTTTGTGCACATTGTTTTATTGCAACTTTGTAGTAAATCTCACAGCTATCAAGTGCCAGAGGCAAGATTAAACTTCCTGTCACCCAAATAATGCATGGACTTTTCAATGATTTACTGCCTTCTATTAGACCTTGTCTACATTCTGAAAGTTACATTCCAACCCCACCCACTATCCCCAGTGAAATAAAACAAAACATGATTCTCGAGGTATTTGGATTTTTTTAACCATTGAAGCTAGAGAAACAATAGAAGTAAGTAGCAGTCCTAAGTGACTTCTAGATACCATGGCTAGCAAAAATAAACTTAAAATAATTTTTTATTGTTTTTCTTGTTATATCAAAATATAAATGCTCATTAGTTGAATAAGATAAATATGTTCTTGCCCTTTATTGGTAAATTCCTGATTGTTCATACTTCAAACTGATCTGTTTTCAACTGGTTTTCAATTATTGGCCAGAACTTTGCACAAATCAGGTGTGTATGAATACAAATTATTCACCTATACAATGGTCAAGAATTAATGTGTTTTCTACAGTCTTTTTAGTAGCTAAAGTGTTTAGTACAAAATAACATATTTGATCTTGTTTTCTTAGGTTCTAGCTACTAAAATAATCTCCAAATGATCTGAAAATTTCTCCTACCTGTGGAACAGCAAATGTAGGTTTGATTTCCTAATGAATATGGTTCATATAGATTGTTTATATCCACTTACTTGAATGTTGATGAAACTCACAGGAGATATGCCCAAGAGAATATGCTTTCATTATCTTCCAGTTTAAGAACAGCAATATGATTTATTCAATAGTGAAAAAGTAAATGGCTTAGAAAAAGGTACCGTATGTTGACATTTATTGAATGGTTTTTTGTCCTCTGGTTAAAATGATGGCATTTAAAAATGTTTTAAAGTGTTTTAATATTAAATAAAAACCTTAAGATATGAGACATATATAATTTAATTTATTTGTTTATTTTTGAGACAAGGTCTTGCTCTGTGGCCCAGGCTATAGTGCAATGCTGTGATCTCAGCTCATTGCAACCTCCACATCCCAGGCTCACCTCCACCTCAGCCTCCTGAGTAGCTGGGACTATAGTTGTGCACCACCATGTCTGTCAAGTTTTTCTAATTTCAGTAGAGATGGGGTTTCTCTATGTTGTCCAGGCTGGTCTCCAACTTCTAGGCTCAAGCTGTTGGCCTGTTTTGGTTCCCAAAGTTCTGGGATTACAGTCATGAGCATCTGTGCCTGGCCATGACACACAATTTTATAACATAACTTTGACACTGGCTTAAAACTTAACTTCTCTGAGGCCTAGTGTCCTCATGCTGGCAATATAAGCCATTTTATATTGCAATGAGTCAGTAAATATAGTGAACTATAATAACATTGAATCACCATATGTCTTCCACACAATCTAGCAGATAGATTTACAGTCATTCAAATGCATTACACTTTCATTCTGTTAAAATTATAAACTGCTATGTTTGCAGTGAATAAAGTATAATACTTGAAATCATTGGAGTATTAATAGCAAATTAATAAGAAAGCTACAAAAATGCCATAGACTTAAAGAAGGCAAAAAATTTACATCTCTGTAAAACATCATAAGTCATCTCATGTTCCAATATTGGGTGCACAGATATTTAGAATTGATATATACTCTTGTTGAATTGATCCTTTTATTTTTATATTATGACTCTTTTTGTCTGTCTTTTTACTCTTTTTTTATTATTTATTTAAAGTCAGTTTTATCTGAGATACAGTGTAGTTTTTCTGCTCACTTTCGGTTTCTATTTGCATGGAATATCCTTTTCGACTACTCCTTTACTTTTAGTCTATATGTGTTTTTATCACCAAGGATACAGTTTGATCATTCTTTAAATTCATTCCACAAATGTATATCTTTTAACAGGAACATTAATCCATTTACAGTCAAGGTTAATACTGATATGTGAGGTTTTATTCCTGTCACATTGTACATTTTTAGCTAGTTGTTTTACACATTCTTATTTTTTTTCTTTTTTTTTTTGTAGTTTAGTGTAGTTCTGTTGTATTGCTATTTAATTCCAGTCTCTTCCTTCTTTGTGTAATTGTCTTATACAATGGCTGAATTTTATAATCCCATGTGATATTTTGGTAGTGAATATCAGCCTTTTGTTTTTATGTTTAGGACTTTTTCTAGTATTTCTTATGAGGCTGATCAAGTAGTGATGCATTCCATCACCGTTTGCTTGTCTGGAAAAGACTTTATTTATCCTTCATTTATAGAGCTTATTGTAGCTGGATATAAAATTCACAGCTCTTTTTTTTTTTTTCCTCTCCTTTAGCACTTTCAAAATAGCCTCTCATTCTCTTCTGGCTTGCAAGACTATTGCTGAAAAGTTTGTTTTTTGTCTGATGGGGCTTCCTTTTCAGCAGACTAGACACTTTTCTCTTGCTGACATTGGAATTTTTTGTTCACATTGAATTTAGACAGTCTGATGACTATACAGCATGGCAAAGTCCGATTTGCAATGTATTTTTCTAATGATGACTGAGACTCTTGTATCTGAATGTATAAATCCCTTGTTAGCATTCTTCTTATCAGCACATAGAGCAATGGAACAGAATAGAGAACCAAGAAATAAGACCACATACCTACTACCATCTGAACTTTGACAAACCTGACAAAAAAAAGCAATGGGGAAAGGATTCCATATTCAATACATGGTGCTGGGAGAACTGGCTAGCCATATGCAGAAGATTGAAACTGGACTTCTTCCTTACACCATATACAAAAATCAACTCAAGATGGATTAAAGACTTAGATGTAAAACACAGAAGAAAGCCTAGCAATACCATTTTGGACATAGGCATGGGCAAAGATTTCATGATGAAGATGCCAAAAGCAATTGCAACAAATGCAAAAATTGACAAATGGGATGTAATTAAACTAAAGAGCTTCTTCACAGCAAAAGAAACTATCAACAGAGTAAACAGCAACCTACAGAATGGGAGAAAAATTTTGCAATCTATTCTCTGACAATGGTCTAATATCCAGAATGTACAAATAACTTAAGCAATTTCACAAGAAAAAAACAAACAACTCCATTAAAAAGTGGGCAAAGGGGCTAGGTGCAGTGGCTCATGCCTGTAATCCCAACAGTTTGGGAGGCTGAGGTGGGTGGATTGCCTGAGCTCAGGAGTTTGAGACCAGCCTGGCCAATATGGTGAAACCCCGTCTCTACTAAAATACAAAAAACTAGCCGGCATGGCAGCGTGCACCTGTAATCCCAGCTACTTCAGAAGCTGAGACAGGAGAATAGCTGGAACCCAGGAAGTGGAGGTTGCAATGAGCTGAGATCCCACCACTGCACTCCAGCCTGGGTGACAGAGAGAGACTCTGAAAAAAGGAAAGAAAGAAAAAGTAAGAAAGAAAGAAAGAAAGAAAGAAAGAAAGAAAGAAAGAAAGAAAGAAAGAAAGAAAGAAAGAAAGAGAAGAAAGAAAGAAAGAAAGAAAGAGAGAGAGAGAGAGAGAAAGAAGAAAGAAAGAAAGAAAGAAAGAAAGAAAGAAAGAAAGAAAGAAAGAGAGAAAGAAAGAAAGAAAGGGAGAGAGAGAGAGAGAGAGGGAGAGAGGGAGGGAGGGAGGGAGGGAGGGAAGGAGGGGAAGGAAATATGGTACACAAACGTGACAGAGCAAGACTCTGAATAAAAAGAGAGAAAGAAGAACAAAAGAAAGAAAGAAAGAAAGAAAGAAAGAAAGAAAGAAAGAAAGAAAGAAAGAAAAAGAATGAAAGAAAGAAAGAAAGAAAGAAAGAGAAGAAAGAAAGAAAGAAAGAGAGAGAGAGAGAAAGAAGAAAGAAAGAAAGAAAGAAAGAAAGAGAGAAAGAAAGAAAGGGAGAGAGAGAGAGAGAGAGGGAGAGAGGGAGGGAGGGAGGGAGGGAGGGAAGGAGGGGAAGGAAATATGGTACACAAACGTGACAGAGCAAGACTCTGAATAAAAAGAGAGAAAGAAGAACAAAAGAAAGAAAGAAAGAAAGAAAGAGAGAAAGAAAGAAAGAAAGGGAGAGAGAGAGAGAGAGAGGGAGAGAGGGAGGGAGGGAGGGAGGGAGGGAAGGAGGGGAAGGAAATATGGTACACAAACGTGACAGAGCAAGACTCTGAATAAAAAGAGAGAAAGAAGAACAAAAGAAAGAAAGAAAGAAAGAAAGAAAGAAAGAAAGAAAGAAAGAAAGAAAGAAAAAGAAAGAAAGAAAGAAAGAAAGAAAGAAAGAAAGAAAGAAAGAAAGAAAGAAAGAAAATGTGGTACATATACGCAAGAAATGTGGAATACTATGCAACCATAAAAAAGAACAAGATCATGTTCTTTGCAGGGGCATGGCTGGAGCTGAAGGCCATTGTGCTTAGCAAACTAATGCAGGAACAAAAGTCCAAATACACATGTTCTCACTTAGAAGTGGGAGCTGAACAATGAGAACACATAGACACATGGTGGGGAGAGTAACACACACTGAGGCCTGTTGGAGCATGAGGGGCAGGGTGGAAGGAGAAAGAGGTTCAGGAAGAATACCTAGTGGATGCTGTGCTTAATACCTGGGTGATGGGATGATCCGTGCAGCAAACCACCATGACACAGGTTTACCTATGTAACAAACCTGCACATCCTGAACATGTACCCCTGAACTTAAAATTAAAGTTGACAATTTAAAAAAAAGAATTAATATCTTAAAATGAATATACCACCTAAAGCAATCTATAGATTTAATGCAATTTCTATCAAAAGACCAACGTGATTTTTCATAAAATTGGAACAAATAATCCTAATATGCATATGGAACAACAAAAAAAGAGTGAATAGCCAAATCAATCCCAAGTGAAAAATAAGGCTCAAGGCTTCACATTACCAGGCCTTAAGTTACACTATAAGGCTGTAATAATCAGAACAGTATGGTAGGATATAAGGCAGACACAGATCAATGGAAAAGAATAGACAACTCATAAATAAAGCCATATATATACATCCAACAGATTTTTAACAAATTTAACAAAAACACACACTGGACAAAGAATCCTATTTGCAATAAATGGTGTAGGAAAATTGGATTACCATTTACATATACAAAAATCAACCCGAGTTGGATGGAGGACTTAAATATATGACTTGAAAATAGAAAAATACAAGAAGAAAAACTAGGAAAAAATCTTCTGGACATTGGTCTATGCAATATTTCATGACTAATACCACCAAAACACAGTCAACGTAAACAAAAATAAACTCATGAGATGTAATTAAACTATAAAGCTCCCATACAGCAAAATAAATCATCAACAGGGCACAGAGAATCCACATAATGAGAGAAAATATTTGCAAATTATGCATCTGATGGGAGACTAATATCTACAATTTAGAAAGAATTCAAGCAATTCAACGAAGAAAAATAACCTTATTTAAAAGTGACCAAAAGATATCAATAAACATTTTACAAATGAAGACATGCAATGAACATGGCCAATAAGCATATGAAAAAATGCTCAACATCACTTATTAGAGAAATGAAAATTAAAACCTTAATTAGATATCGTCTCACACCAGTTAGAATGACCAATCTTAAAATGTCAAAAAAAAAAAAAAAACAGATGTTGGCAAAGAAAAGGGGATGCTTATGCACTGCTGTTGGGAATGTAAGCTAGTACTACCTATATGGAAGACAGTATGGAGATTTCTCAAATAACTGAAAATGGAACGACTATTTGATCTAGCAATCCCACTACTGGGTATCTGCCAAAAGATAAATCAGTATCTTACTTTGGGTAGATACCCAGTAGTTGAATTGCTGGATCAAATGGTGGTTCTATGATACTTGCACTTTTATGTTTATCACCACACTATTCACAGTAAGAAAAATACAGAATCACTCTAAGTGTTCAACCATGGATGACTAGATGCAGAAAATATGTTATATATAAGCAGTTGAATACTATTCACCAACAAAAGAATGAAAGCATGTCTTTTGCAGCAACATGGATGAAACTGGAGGCCATTATCTTAAATGAAACAATTTTAAAAAAGAAAGTCAAATATGATATGTTCTCACTTATAAGCAGGAGCTAAATAATGTATACATATGACATAGAGTGTGGAATGAATTACAGTGGAAAGTTGGAAGGGTGAGAGAGTCAGAGGTATGTGGAGTATAAGAAATTACTTAATGGGTACAATGCACATTATTCAGGAGATGGATACACTAAAAGTCAAGATATTCAATATATTCAATATATCCATACAACAAAATTGCACCTCTACTCAATGCATTCAGAAAGAAAGAAAGAAAGAGAGAGAGAAAGGGAAAAAAAGAGAAAGAGAGGAAAGAAGGAAGGAAGGAAGGAAGGAAGGAAAAGGTAGAAAGAGAAAAAAGGAAGGAGAGAAAGAAGCTGATGCAAGGCAGGCATAAACTTTCACTAATAAACTCAGAATCTCCATCAACATATTTAAAAAATCAATAAACAAGCAAACATGAAATGAGTGAAAGTGAAAAATACATAAATGGATAATTTTTATTTGTTTTTTCAAAATTATATCAAAGACTACCACCACAAAACCTGAAAATAAAAAGAATATTGAGTCAAAGCACCCTGTTGCAACAGAATCTTGTTAAATCAGCAACTTTTTTTTTTTTTTTTACCAGACACAGAATTAACTGGGAAAAGGAAGGATTAACAGTACCTATAACACATGGAATTCGTGAATTTTCAAACTCCACCAGTAAAAAGAAAAGACAATTTATTGAGTGAAAATTCCAGCAAAGTCAAGCTGGAAGAGTAGATAAGCTTTTATATGTTCCAAGTTTCAGGTGAATTACCACCCCAACCCCTGTGCAGTCTCAATACAGGTGTCGCCAAAGGATCGTGAATGATTGAAACTGTGCTCAAGGTAATTAAGGATGTCACAAATGTGCAGCATATACACCCTTTCAGTAGGACAAGTAAAGACTTGTCCTTGTTTCCCTAAGGAAAACAAAACGCTGAAAAAAAAAAAAGCTAACTGAGTCAAGTAGAATCATTGGGAAGAAAAGCTTCACTAAGAAAGGAGAATTCTGGGAGATGTAGTTCTCAGAACACTTAGGGCAACATAAAATGTCTAAGGTGTGGAGAACCACTTTGAAAGGCAAGAACTGACTGTCTATAGGACTCAAGGAAGAGCAGGGAGAATTTGCTCATAAATTAGGCTTAGGTCTGAGAGCTAAAGTAGCTTTACAGTAATATTTTAAGGCCACAATGAAAGCTAGAGAGTGATTCCTTCAGCATGAACCTGGAAAAGTTACTTTGATATATCACCAACTTCCTATGTACCTTCTTCTGAGAGTCAAGATGCCCAGCACATTTAAACATGGATGGAGCAAGAAGATGGCAATTGAACTCCATATGATGAGAGTTAAAGTATACAAGGATGAAAATAACAAAATAATGTTTTAGAAGGTTGCCAGCAGCCCGTTACCATTGTCAGCAGCCTCAGCTACCTTATTCTGTCCTCTAGTCATTATCTATTCTGAAGCAATGATAAATTTATGTAATAGCTAGTTTTCTAAAGTTTTAATATAAACAGAAAAATTTACCATTTATAAGTGTCAGTTATATGAATTTTGATAAACACAAGTAGGTAAGCAAATCAAGTTATAGTATATTTTCATTACCCTATAAAGTCCTCTCATCACTTTGTAGCCAATTACTTTCCTTTACTCCCAAGTTCTGGCAACCACAGATGTGCTTTCTGTTGTGATTTTGCCTGGTCCAGGATATTATATCAATGGAATCACAATGTATGTAACTTTTTGAGTTTGGCTTTTTCAACTTAGCAAGAAGTATTTGAGATTCATTCCTGTACTAGATAATTATATTTTATACCTACTTATCACTGAGTAGTATTCCATATTATGGATGTACTACAATTGTTTTATTCATTCACTAGGTGTTGGAAATGTGTTTATTTTTCTGAGTAATGTGCCTTTGAATTTCATCCATGTCTTTTTATGACTTGATAGTTCATTTCTTTTTAGAGCTGAATAATATTTCATTATCTGGATAAACCACAGTTTATTAATACATTTATTTACTGAAGAGCATTTTAGTTGCTTGTAAGTTTTGGCAATTATAAATAAAGCTTCTGTAAACATCCATGTGCAAAACTTTGTGTGGATATTGTTTCCTTTGGGTAAGCACCAAGGAGCATGATTACTGGATTATAAGTAAATTTAGCTTTGTAAGAAGCTTCCAAACTGTCTTGCAAAGTAGTTGGACCATTTTGCATTCCCACCAGTAATGAATGAGAATTCCTGTTTTCCTGTTGCTGCACATCACCGCCAGCTTTTGCTGTTTTCTGTGTTCTGGGATTTTGGTCACTCTAGTTATGAAGAGATATATCATTGTTTTTTTTGCATTTCCTTGATGACCTATGATGTGGAGCATCAATTTCATATGGTTACATGCCATATGTATATCTTTTATGGGGTATCTTTGACTCATTTTTAAAATCATTTTTTTTTTTTTTTGAGACGGAATCTTGCTCTGTCGCCCACGCTGGCGTGCGGAGGCACAATCTCAGCTCACTACAACCTCTGCCTTTCAGGCTGGAAGCTGGAACTACAGGCGAGCCACTGCACCCGGCCTTTTTGACCATTTTAGGTGGTTTTTAAGGTCTTTGACTCATTTTTAAATCAGGTTGTTTGTGTTCCTATTGAGTTTTAAACAGTTCTTTGTAAATTTTAGATAACAGTCTTTTATCAGATGTGTCCTTGCAAGTATTTTCTCCTAGTCTGTTGTCATTTCATTCTTTTGATCATCCATGTATTTTTCATCACATTTTGGATAATTTCTTATGTGCATATCAAAGAACAAGTATATAGATTAGTATATCAATTCTTGAAGATAGAAAAGATCTCGCAGAACTTAAAAAATTGACCTTTAACTCTGCCATATATCTGAGTCTAATGTTCTAGTTCACAGAAAATTATTACATAGAACATCTGCATATTGCCCTAACTCTTCTGTTAATATTCTCTATTCATAGATTTACCTTATAATTATGTGCATTAATATCTCCTCTATTAATTTTTTTTTTTGAGATGGAATCTCACTCTTTCACCCAGGCTAGAGTGTGCAGTGGCATGGTCTCGGCTCACTGCCAACCTCTACCACCTGGGTTCAAGCAATTCTCATGCCTCAGCCTCCCCAGTAGCTGGGATTACAGGCGTCCACCACCAAGCCCGGCTAATTTTTTGTATTTTTAGTAGAGATGGGGTTTTTCCATGTTGGCCAGGCTGTTCTCGAACTCCTGACCTCAGGTGATCTGCCTGTCTCGGCCTCCCAAAGTGCTGGGATTACAGGCATGAGCCACCGCACCTGGCCTATTAAATTTTCAATGAAGTTAAATCTCTCTCATACCATTTAGAATTAGAGGACTGTCAAATTTAAATAAATATAGTAACCTTTATTAAATGATTATATGTCTTGTCATAGGTTATGTTTTCATATTATTTCATTATGTATGTGACAATAGGACTTCCAGATAATTCATAGGTTATAATTTCAAGAAGAAACTGAATTTTAGAGAATTTAAGTTATTAATTTGATAGCATGTAGATAATTAGAATCAGAGCTAGCACTATGGCCTGTATTATTAGCTTTCTTTTTCAGTAATATGCATATTTTTTTCCACTGGGGGATTATTTTGGACCTAGGTAGAAAGTACACTTATGTGATCATTGGAATCATGTAATGCATGTTCCAGATCAGTTACTTGTTCACTACAGAAAAAAAAAAAAATCATAATTTGTTTTATCCCAGAAGAGAATTAGTGTGTTTTCTTCTTTGGGCATCCCTGTGGAATTCTAGAGCTCAAGGGCCTGGTATAAGAATTCAAATGCACAATATTCATAGCATACCTGAATTGAGTGAGCAGTTCATTTCCAAAGGTAAGAGAAAAGGAATCTGATCACTTGTAAAATATTAAGAAGCTCTCACCTTGAATTTAAGACTAAAACATATTTCTTACTATTTAAATATAAGAAAGAGGGTTCTGTTTAATGTGAAGCTGTATTACAAATTGAATCACATACTTTCCAAGGATCATAGGAGAGAATACGTGTGTTGTTTTAGCAACAGTTTATAAAAATAATTGTATTACTTGTTATTGGATGGTATTTATTTTATAGAAATTTCAGAAGTTACGTAAGAATCATAGTAAAAGGATAGCCATAATTCATTTTTGATATAAATATGTCACAAAAATACACCCAAGGACTTCACAGGCATAATGACCAAATGATCATATAAATTGACACGTCTGATATTGGTTTTAAGTTAAAATCTGAAAAATAATAATGCTTAAAAAAACTGCACAGGCCAAAATGAACAAATTGGTGATATTTTTTTCAGGAAAGAAAAGTGAAACACAAAAGGAAAAATAAATGAAAAATGAACACCAAATTCTTTTGGTTTGCAAACAAGGTGCATCTATCTCCAGAATCAAATCTCTTGTATCCACCACCATTCTGTAAGTACTAATGCAACAGCAGGATAATTGCCAAAAAAAAAAAAAGGATTTGAAATGGTTTGGTCAGAAAGACTGTCTCAAATGATAAATTTTAATATAAGCCTGACATTGCATTTTCTAGTTATCTGGGCATATTTAAATATTAAATAACTTACATACTGTTTTTCCCATTTAAATACAACCCACTCTTATAATGTAGATATGATTGTTTCCATATTTAAAATGAGAAAAATAAAGTAATTCAATGGACTTTTTAGAAAACCTAGGAATAGCACTCAGTCTTTATGAGTTTTGAAACAATTTAATATTAAGAATAGATGGTAGTACATTTGATGGAAAATGAACAGGAAATTAAACTGATTAAATAGACTTTTTTTACACTTTAAGTTCTGGGGTACATGTGCAGAATGTGCAGTTTTGTTACATAGGTATACACGTGCCACGGTGGTTTGCTGCACGCATCAACCCGACACCTACCTTAGGTATTTCTCGTAACGTTATCCCTCCCCTAGCCTCCCACCCTCCGACCGGCCCTGGCGTGTGATGTTCCCCTTCCTATGTCCATGTGTTCTCATTGTTCAACTCCCACTTACGTGTGAGAACATGCGGTGTTTGGTTTTCGGTTCTTGAGATAGTTTGCTGAGAATGATGGCTTCCAGCTTCATCCATGTTAAAAAGATAAATTTAGTGCATGATTGAATAAAATAATTTATTTAATTTATTTAATTACAGTAATGTATCCACTTGGACCCAATTTTATCACCACCTGTGCATTTGCTGACAAGGATTTCATCTTGCTTTTCCAAGAAACGAACATGAGGATATAATTGGATAAACTTAATTTTCACAGGCTGTTGCATTTAGTACATATAAACAATAGCTAAAATGTCAGGGTTGCCTTCAGATATGGATCTATACAAGCTTCAATTAAACAATTTTACTGAAGTCACCATGTTTATATTAATAAGCTTCACAGAAGAATTTGATGTGCAAGTCTTCCTATTTTTATTATTTTTAGCAATCTATCTATTCACTCTAATAGGCAATTTAGGGCTGGTTGTACCGATCATTGGGGATTTCTGGCTTCACAGCCCAATGTACTATTTTCTTGGTGTTTTATCATTCTTGGATGTCTGCTATTCTACAGTTGTCACTCCAAAAATGTTGGTCAATTTCCTGGCAAAAAATAAATCTATTTCATTTCTTGGATGTGCAACACAGATGTTTCTTGCTTGTACTTTTGGAACCACAGAATGCTTTCTCTTGGCTGCAATGGCTTATGATCGCTATGTAGCCATCTACAACCCTCTCCTGTATTCAGTGAGCATGTCACCCAGAGTCTATGTGCCACTCATCACTGCTTCCTATGTTGCTAGCATTTTACATGCTACTATACATACAGTGGCTACATTTAGCCTGTCCTTCTGTGGATCCAATGAAATTAGGCATGTCTTTTGTAATATGCCTCCTCTGCTTGCTATTTCTTGTTCTGACACTCACGTAATCCAGCTTCTATTCTTCTACTTTGTGGGCTCTATTGAGATAGTCACTATCCTGATTGTCCTGATCTCCTATGGTTTTATTCTGTTGGCCATTCTGAAGATGCAGTCTGCTGAAGGGAGGAGAAAAGTCTTCTCTACATGTGGAGCTCACCTAACTGGAGTGACAATTTATCATGGGACAATCCTCTTCATGTATGTGAGACCAAGTTCCAGCTACACTTCGGACAATGACATGATAGTGTCAATATTTTATACCATTGTGATTCCCATGCTGAATCCCATCATCTACAGTTTGCGGAACAAAGATGTAAAGGAGGCAATCAAAAGATTGCTTGTGAGAAATTGGTTCATAAATAAGTTATAGTTTTAAAATTGAGTAAAGTTGCAAATAATATTGGGTGTCAGTCCACATCTCTATGGTCAGAAAGTAGAGAAGAAAATGTGTTTCTTTTAGTTAACAGTGCTTGTAACTTCTAGAATATTTTCAAATAAAGCATCAATCAGCCTACTAATTCACCATTTTAGAAATATCAATATATTGTATCATGTATAAAATATGGCTTGTATTCATAGCCTATGACAATGTTTAAACTAATCTGCATTAAATATTCATTGATGTGCAAACATTGCTGTTTTTAGTTTTTGTATAACTTGATTTTCACTGGCTATGTTAATAATGATGTCCTCTGGATTCTATGGCTTCATGTGTTCCTACATAACTCTATAATGGGTGCTAAAGTAAGTTTTCCCAGCACCATTTATTGAAGAGGCTCTCCTTTCCCCAATGTATTTTCTTGGCACCTTTGTTGAAAATGAGTTCCATAGTATAATCTGAAGTCAGATAATGTTATGTGGGTGGCAAGCCATCCAGGTGCTGAGACAAGAGACCGAGGGCACGAGCTGTTCCAGTATAATAAAATATATAAAACAATAAGAGTTATACTAGATCTAGATCATAGACATGATTATATATGAATATCATTAATCATTAGTTTGTAGCAATTACTCTTTATTCCAATGTTATAATAATCCTCGCTCTATAATCATAACCTAGGAAAAACCAGGCCATACAGAGGTAGGAGCTGAGGGGACATAGTGAGAAGTGACCAGAAGGCAAGAGTGCGAGCCTTCTGTTTTGCCTGGACAGGGTCACCAGAGGTCTCCTTGGTCTAGCGGTAATGCCAGCGTCTGGGAAGACGCCCGTTGCCAAGCTGACCATGGTCTAGCGGTAGCCTCAGTGTCAAGGAAAAACACCCGCTACTTAGCTGACCAGGAAAGGGATTCTCCCTTTCCCTGGGGGAGTTTAGAGAAGACTCTACTCCTCCACCTCTTGTGGAGGGCCTGACATGAGTCAGGCCCGCCCACAGTTATCCTGAGGCCTAACCGTCTCCCTGTGATACTGTGCTTCAGTGGTCACGCTCCTAGTCCGCCTTCATGTTCCACCCTGTACACCTGGCTCTGCCTTTTAGATAACAGTAGCAAAATTAGTGAAAGTACTAAAAGTCTCTGATATGCAGAAATAATGGCGCAAGCTGTCTCTCTCTCTCCCTCTCTCTCTCTGCCTTGGCTGCCAGGCAGGGAAGGGCCCCCTGTCCAGTGGACACGTAACCCACATGACCTTACCTACCATTAGAGATGACTCACACTCTTTACCCTGCCCCTTTTACTTTGTATCCAATAAATAACAGCACAGCCAGACATTCAGAGCCACTACCAGTCTCCGTGTCTTGGTGGTAGTGGTCCCCCAGGCCCAGCTGTCTTTTCTTTTATCTCTTTGTCTTGTGTCTTTATTTCTATGCTCTCTCATCTCTGCACACAAGGAGAAAACCCACCAACCCTGTGGGGCTGGACCCTACAATGTTATTTCTCCATTTTTTTTTTCTCTTTGCTTATGATAGCTTTGGCTATTCTGGGTCTTTTGTGTTTTCATATAAATTTTAAGGTTCTTATTTATTTTTGTAAAGAATGTATTTGTATTTTGATAGGAATTGCATTGAATCTATAGATTGCTTTTGGTAGCCCAGGCATTTTAACAATATTGATTTTTCCAGTTCATGAACATGGAATATCTTTCCATTTTATGTGTCCTACTCAATTTATTTCATCAACATTTTATAGTTTTTATGGTACAGATCTTTCACTTCTTTGGTTATTCGTAGGTATTTAACTTTATTTATGGATATTGTAGATTTTTAAATTTCTTTTTCAGATTGATTGCTATTGGCATCGTAAACCAAAGATAAAATTCAAACCCCCGCACCCCACCCTTCCCCACAACCATCTGAATGGACTCCCTCCTCGGGCAGGGGACTCTAAAATTTAATGTGAAAGACCAGATTAGGCCATGACTGGAAGTAGGATCTGATGTGCCTCATTATAATCCTCCAGTGCTAGCATCAACACAGACTGTAAGTCTCATGAGAAACATTTACAATCTATTCTAAGCTTGCTACTTGGAGGCTTCAACTGCATGATAAAACCTTGGTCTGCACAATCCCTTATCTTAATCCAGACATTTCTTTCTACAGAAAACAACTCTTTCAACCAATTGCCAATCAGAATCTACTCAAATCTACCAATGACCTGGAAGTCCCACCCCTCCCCACCTCCTGCTTCAAGTTGTCCCACCCTTCCACATCAAACCAATGGAATTTTACATGCATTGATGGATGAAATTTCTAAAATTTGAATATGTCTTAGTGTAGGCTATCAGTCATAATTATGGTCATTATTTAAGCTATTTTAGAACACAGAAGTAACCAAATTTTTTTGTCAGTTGTCTGTTACTATGACTATTTAAAGTCATTTCCATGATTAATTGTTTAATTCTGATGCAGTTTCTGAAAACCTCACAAGCACACAAAATCCTAGAATATGGTATCTTTTAGGAGGTTCATGAAAGGATAGAAAGGACCCTGAAAAGCACTCATTCTTGAATAAATACAGCTTTCTGATAACTTTAGAATCATATCATTTGGACTGGGTGAGAATTTCCTCAACTTTAATGAAAGGACTAACTGGTTTATAAAACTGCAAACCCAAGTAGAACAAAGAATAATTGAATAGCAAGAAAATACTTTGCCAGATTTTTATGCTACATCAGCCATTACTACAATTGTTTAGATATACAGTTTGAATGAACTCCATGGTCTGAGTCAATTTACTTACGATAACCCATCAGTTATCAGTGCTATGCACCTAAATTGGAGAAACAACTGATATTCAAGAGGACACAAGTTTAATGTTAAGCCTGGACTTGTGGAGAACCAGGAAAGCCACCTTGTCCTTCCTGAGTCCCTAAAGCTTTGTTGTTAAGAGTTCTGCATTCTGTGACTCATCATGCAAAAGATAAAATGATCCAAATTAAATATATATTGGTGTGGTGACTTCTAAATTGCTGAAATAGTTTATGACCAATGTTTGGTTTGTCAAACCCATATTCCTAGGAAAACAATCAAAGCTTCAGGTACATTTCACTACCTGATGGATCACTCAAACATTTATAGAGGGACTTCATACAATTGTCATTTTCAATGCATGGGTTTTGGTTGTATAAAAGTTTTCTCATACAAGAGGGCTGATGTTATAACAGTAGATTATTATGCTACAGTATATGTTCACCAGGTAAAGAAAGCTTTTTTATAGTTTGCTGACTGAGGACAATAAACCCCTTTACAATCTAGAACCCAAAGACTGGATCTTTTGAGAACATCAGAGAAATACTGCCCTTGTCATCCACACTGTAGCAAAACTTCAATACCTTGAATCTTGGGTTCAAAATCTCACAACTCAGAAGGGTCCGTCCACACAAGTGAAATTGTACACTTCCCTTTGGAACCCTTAAGGTAAAGGTAACCAGGGATGTTTCTCCACAGAAGAAGATAGCATCTTTGATGTGAACAGCTTTTTCCCAAGATCACAGATGAAGATTTCTCTACTATCATGAGACTCTTATCTTTGAATCTTTTTTTCCCTTGCTTAAGTCTCTATGAACAATAGAAGTGAAATGGGAGTATGTTGTGTGCACTCATGGGGTATACTTTTATTTGTAAAGGATTTTGAAGCCAGCCTTATACATGGATAACCTAATACCTTGATAGATGGAAAACGAAGGCCCAAGGTAGATGAGAAATTTTAATGGTACATATGTTGCCTCAAAATCAGTCAGAAACAGAACATTGGTTCACTCCTTTTAACCTACCTCACAGGTTAAAGAGAACATTAAAAGTAGGCCCTTTACTAGAATGGCATCATTTGTTAGGTCCTCTTTTTCCATGGTTTTAAGTAAAAGACGCAATGATTAGGAATGTATCCCTCATGATAGGCTCTATAGCAGATTCTATTGTATAGGTGATGATTATACAACAGACTTTAAATTCTCTTGTAAAAGTTATGCTAAATAATAGAATTGCTCTACATTACTTACTGGCTAAACAGAGAAGTATCTGTGTAGCTGCTGGCACTTGTGGCCTATGGAGAAATATATCACATCAGGTCTTATAGAGGGGATTAACAAAGAGACTGCTTAGTAAAGTGAGTAGACTTTTTAGCTCATTCTTTTATCTTTTTGATTTTAGGTGGTTTGGTTTAGGGGGAACCTGGGTAAGGAGCATACTCCAAACTCTTGGTATTATCCTCCTGATAATAGTAGTTTCCCTGGTGCACTGTATTATCTTAAAAATTTTAAATGTTTGCATGGAGCCATCCTTAGAATGTCAAATGGTGTCTCTTCAACTGGAATGACAAGACCTGAAAGAAATGTGTGACCATATGGGCACCGTAACTTATGAGAGACATGATGAGACTGGAAACCCAAAATGGTGGTAACTGAGAGTGGTGCTTAGGCCCTAAGTGTTTGTCGCAATCTCACCTGAGAACATGAACAAAAGTGGAAAATTTTTAAACAAAATTATGAGCGGTCATTGTTTTGGACTGAGCTTATGCACTAGGCCCCAACAGACCAGACTAAACCAAAATGGAGTCATTCATGCTAAATGTGACATAATTAAGCTAAGACTTTAAGGATACGCTTAGATCCTAGAACACACCAGGTTTTGTTTTCTCTCCTGTAAAAAGGATGTTCCAGCATAAGGAGGTACCCTCTATTCTAACCCTTTCAAAAAAATGAATAAATAACCTGAAGTCCCTGTTCCCATCTTACAAAACCTACTGTTTTGCTATTTCCCAGTGGCTTTCAAGCCCAAATAAGTACATTTATACTGGTGAAACTGACATCAATTACTAAACTTTTTGTCCACCTTTAAAAATTGAGATGACCAAAGAGAGAAATTATTAAATCGAGTTTAACCTGAAGCTGCCTCATTACGTATTTTAACTTTGGCCAAAAGGTTTCTTTGTACATCACAAACTAGAACAAGTGGAGGTGTAAACAGACTGAAGCCTACATCTGTGCCAATCACCAAGTTTTGGCCAATCAAATGGAGCCAACTGTTTGAACCATGTTCAAACATGGCAAACACCAACCTATAACCAATTCAGCTATTTCTATACCTCACTTTTGTTTTCTGTATGTCATTTTCTTTTTCTATCCATAAATCTTCCACCATGTGGCTGCACTGGAATCTCAGAGCCTACTCTGGCTTCAGTGACTGCCCAATTTGCTAATCATTCTTTGCTTAACAAAATTCCTTTAAATTTAATTTGGCTGAAGTTTTTCTTTTATCATGTGTCCTCCTCAATTTCTTTCATTTATGTTTTATAGTTTGCATGGTACAGCTCTTTCACTTCTTTGGTTAAGTTAATTCCTAAGTATTTAACTTTATTTGTAAATATTGCAGACTTTTTATTTTTACTTTTGAATTGATTGCTACTGACATTGTAATCCAAAAATAAAATTCAAATCCCCTTCCTCATCCCACAACCATCTGAATGGACTCCCTCCTAGGCCAGGGCACTCTAAAATTAACCTCAAAGACTGGATCAGGCCATGACTGTAAGTGAGGGTCCTATGTGCCTCACTATACTCCTCCAGTATTAACATCAACACAGACTGTAGGTCTGATAAGTAACATTTACAATCTGTTCTAAACCTGCTACCTGGAGGCTTCATCTGCATGATAAAACCTTGGTCTCCACAACTCCTTATCTTAACCCAGAAATTCCTTTCTATTGATAATAACTGTTTTAGACAATTACCAATCAGAATATCTTTAAATCTATCTATGACCTTCCCCTTCTTCAAGTTGTTCCACTTTTCCACATTGAACCAATGTAAAAATATGATTGATGCATTGTATCCATAAAATGTGTAAAACCAAGTTTTACCCTGACCACGTTGGGCATATGTCATCAGTACCTCCTGAGTCTGTGTCACAGGGGTGTCCTGAACCTTGGCAAAATAAACTTTCTAAATTGACTGAGACCTGTCATCAATATTTTCAGTTTGCAGTGTATAGAAATGGTCAAAAGAAAGAGTCAAACTCTGTAAAATATTTGAAGAGATTTATTCAGGGCCAAATATGGGTGGCCATTGCCCATTACACAGCCCCCATGAGGTCCTGACAACATGTGCCCAAGGTGGTCAAGGCAGAGTTTGGTTTTTATACAGTTTAGGGAGGCATGAAACATCAATCAAATACTTTTAAGAAATACATTGGTTTGGTCCAAAATGGTGGGACAAGTCAAACAGTGGGAGGCAGCAGGTTTCAGGCTATAGGTAAATTTAAACATTTTCTGGTTGATAATTGGTTGAGTTTGTCTAAAGATCTGGAATCCATAGAAAGGAAATGTTCAGATTAAGATAAAAGATTGTGGAGACCAAGGTTCTTTTGAAGTCTTATAGTGTCTGCCCTTAGAGACAATAGATGACAAATGTTTCCTATTTAGATCTTTAAAAGGTGCTAGACTTTTAATTTATCTCATTAGGATTGGGAGGGCCTGGAAGAAAAAACATATATCTATGTTAATAGAGATTCTTTACAGATGGAAATATTCCTTTAAGGACAGCTTTACAGGGCCTTTCAAGATATGGCAAAGACATATGTTTTGGGGTAAAATATTTTGATTTTCTTCCTTGTTTCATAATGTTATGCCAGAGTCAGTTTGGAAAGTAAGTTATGATACATAGGGTTAAATAAAACCCATCTGCTGAAAAATCTATGGTTTCTAGGACATGACTACCCAGATCATTTAGATAAGAATGTGGGCAAGATAAAACAATTAGAGCTTAGTCCTCAAAATGCTACTAATTTTTTATGTTGATTTTTTATCCTGCAACTTTATTGAATTTGTTATCAGCTTTTTAATTAGTTTTCTGGTGGAGTCTCTAGGTTTTTTCAAATATAAGGTCATATCGTCTGCAAAT
This sequence comes from Homo sapiens, assembly GCF_000001405.40. Taxonomy (NCBI): domain Eukaryota; kingdom Metazoa; phylum Chordata; class Mammalia; order Primates; family Hominidae; genus Homo; species Homo sapiens. Next base: position 56,283,580 of record NC_000011.10, read on the forward strand.
AAGAATAATTTGACTCCTTTCTTTTCAATTTAAATCCTCTTTATTTCTTTCTATTGTCTGATTTCTCCAGTTAGGACTTCCGGTACTATTTCAAATAATAATGTTGAACATGGGCATTCTTGTCGTGTTCTAGATCTTAGAGGAAAAACATTCAGTTTTTTTTGCCATTCAGTATGTTACTAGTTGTGGGTCTGACATACATGGCTTTTATTATATAGAGTTATGTTCCTCTTATACTCAGTTTTTGGAGGGTTTTTGTCATGAAGGGATGTTGAATTTTATCAAATCCTTTTTCAGTATCAATTGAAATGTTCATGTTTTTGGTCCTTCATTCTGTCAATATCATGTATCACTTTGATTGATTTGTGTATATCAAAAAATACTTGCATGCCTGGGATAATTCCCACTTCAACATAATCAATGATATTTTTAAACCGTTGTTGAAATTGGTCTGCTAGTAGTTTGTTGAGAATTTTTGTATTGATGTTCATCAGGGATTTGACCTATAGCTTCTTTTTTGTTTGTTTGTTTGTTTGTTTCAATGGGTCTGTCTGGTTTTGGTATACTGGACTTGTAGAATGAGTTTGGAAGTACCCATCCTCTAGTTTTTGGAATAGTTAAGTAGGATTGGTATTAGTTCTTCTTTAAACATTTTGGTAAATGTAAAATTTATGACAAATATAGCAAAAGGAATGGGAGAGATCTGACTTTACTCTAAAGGTCTTATGTGAAAAGTTGAGATATAGATTATTTTAGGTAAACTATAATACATAAAACATGTTTTTATAATCCAGGGTCAACACTAAGAAGACAGAAGAGAAATATAACCAATATCAGGAATGAAATAAGGTATTTTACTCTGGTCCCTACAAATATGACAAGGAAAATAAGAACATTATAAACAACATTTTGCTAATAAAATTGACAATTAAATGAAAAATACAAATGAAAAATGTAAAGAAGCTTACATCAGAAGAAAGGGGTAACCAGGGTAGTCCTATGTCTACTTAAAAAATTGAATATGTTCTAAAAACCATCCATATGAACACAACGTTTGGAATTGTCTTCCTTACTGTCAAAAAATCTCACCTTTCTCTCAGACTAGAATGTGGGCAAAGTACTAGATTAACTCTCTTCAACAACATAGAAGAAGACATCAGGGAGATAATAGAGCAATAACATAGAAGAACCTGTGTCCTAAGATTGCCTTGTGAAAAACAGCTCCCCACAAAGTCTAGTCAGGTCAAGAGTAATAAGAATAAAACAAAGAACACTCTGCAGGTTATATTTAAGGATACTTTGTTGTTGTTGGGTCACTCTGTTTCTGAATCCTTTTTTTTTTCTTTAACATCAGAAAAGCCTGTATCCTGATTAAATACAAATTCTCTCCCCAGCACCATCCCATCATCTGATAAACTGTTCTTTCCTTTATTGAGTGCTTTTTCTGTAAATAGGACTGTACCTATACATCTGAGATTTAGCTAGTACTGCCAAAATCATACTCTCCTCTATCAACAGCCCTAGAGAATGTTTATCAGCAGCATATCCCCTTTAATAACCTCTATTATTTTGTTAATGCCTTTAATAGGGTGTAAGGGATTTTTTTTTGTTAAGAAAAGAATCCTAAATGCCCATCAATCAATGAGTGGAGAAAATATTGCTCTATGTGTATATATTCCATATATATGGATATATGATGGAATACTACTCAGCCATAAAAAGGAATGAATTAATGGCTTTAACAGCAATCTGGATGGAACTGGAGACTATTATTCTAAGTGAAGTAACTCAGGAATGGAAAACCAAACATTGTATGTTCTCACTTATAAGTGGGAGCTAAGCTATGCAGATGCAAAGGCATAAGAATTACACAATGGACTTTGGGGACTTGAGGGAGAGGGTAAGAGGGGGGTAAGGGATAAAAGACTACAACTGGGTTCAGTGTATACTGTTCTGGAGATGGGTGCACCAAAATCTCACAAATCACCACTAAAAAGCTTGCTCATGTAACCAAATACCACCTGTTCCCCAAAAAATGTATGGAAATAAAAATTTTTTAAAAAATCATGCAGTTATCTGTGGGAAGGAAGCTTCAGGAAGAAGAGAAAATGGAAAACTTCAGGCAGTGTTAGTAATACTATTTACAGCGAAGAGCTGGGAGATAATGGAATAGAGACAAAGTAAGTGTGACAGGTGGAATAATAAGAAATAAGTTCATAGACTTAAGAATTGAGGACATCATTTTCAACCAATGAACACTTATAAAGTTCTTGGTTTTTATTTTTAGTGTGAGGAAATACTGTATAGGGTTTGTGAAGAGAAATGATATAATCCAACCTACTATTTAACAGTATAACTCTGGCTCCTATATAGAGATTCAACTCAAGAGGAATAAGAATAAAATTACATGCATGCTACCACACTACAGCAATAATTCTGACACTAAAAAGACAGTTATCTGGGCCAGGATGGTAGCAAAAAATGTGTTCAGACACCAAATGTATTCCATATTTAGAAGAACTTTAATATATTAATTGAATGGAAGTAAAGTGTGTTTAATAAAAATAAAATTCCAAGATAATTCTTTTTTTTTCGGTGGGGAGAGAGCATGTTTTCTTAGTATTGCATTAAATGTCTATGAGCTGATGATACAAAAGAAAAGCAAACACAAGGACATGGGTATAGATTCTTACTAATTGATGAAAACCATTCAAACTGCAAACACAGTTTGCAGATATTAATTGCAAAAGTCTGAGACAAACACTTTCCGAGATGTGAGTGTATCAATAGGATTCTGATGTTACCAGGACTACTTTGATATTCCTTTGCATTTGTTTTCTGCATTAGCCTGAAATTCCCCCATTGAAGTTGCTGGAACCACTGACTATCCCGTCCTCTCTAGAACTTCAGTTTAAATAATCAGAAGTACATTTGCTTCCCAGGCTGCACTTCTGCTTATTGTTCAACTTTCAAAGGGCAAAGTGTCCTTTTCTGAATATTTGATCGAATGCCCAGAATTTAAAATGATTTCTCCACCTCTCTGACTTGTGGCTGAGAAAGCTGTCACTCGCAGACAGTTCTCCCTAAGATGTGTGTCTATATCTGAAACAGTTACAGAAAGCCTCTCCTGGCCACATAGAGTTGAAAGAAATAGTTAGGCTTGTAAGAAAAGTTATTGAAAGGTGACAAGAATTACATAATAATATGAGCTGAGTGTACAAATGAGTCCTCAGGAGAGGAGGGCAGTGTCCTCACTTCAAGCCAAGTAAAGGCCCCAGGCCCACCCATTGCTGGCTTGAATGCTCTGTTTCAGCTTAAGCTAAAGCCTATATTTACCCAGTTCTGGAGCTCCTCTGTGTTTTATTTACTTTTTAAAAATTCTTAATTTGACTTTTTTTGTGGGTACATAATAGATACATATTTAGAGTATATGAGATAATTTGATGCAGGAAGACAATGCATAATAATCACATTACTTCAACATAATTCTTAAATCTTTGCTTGACCAAGTAAAGGGTGGTTTTCCATTAATGTGTGATTAAAATTTAGATATTGCTAGTACTGACCTGGCAGTTAAATTATAATGATAAAGTATGTTAATTATATATCTAAAGCCCATTGAATATTGTCTGAACAGTGCTCAGAAAAAAAAATTATTATTATTTTCATCTAGCCATCATTATTTGAAAGAAAAAATAGCTGTTCATATTTTGCTATGCTGAATTACAGGGTTTTTTTGTATTTATGTTATATGGCACTTTGGCATGACACTATGAATCAGAGGACTATGCCTTAAATTAGACAATATCTTACATAAAATATAGTTTACATCACTATAATAGCGAAAGTATAAGTCAAATGTGAACAGTCTAAATCTTTCATATTGCACATAGATTATTGTATACTTTTCTATAATATTATGTGAATACATTTTAGCTTATACAATGAAGAGGATAAGGTAGTCCTAATTAAAATAGAATTTAAGCAATTTCTCAGCATAAGTGTTGTCTACAAAGTGATAGATTCTGTTGGCCATCTTTGTAACTCAAATTGACAGGATCCATTTTCTAAATCATAGAAATAGACATAAATGAAAGCAAGATAAAACCATAGCTTATAAAAATGACTAGAAAAATGGAAAGAGCCTATAAATACATGAAATTATATCATGCATTTATAAGATGAGAATGAGCCAAAAAACATATTATTAAACAATAAATTCCTACTACATACTTGTTTCTAATTGCAAACGAAAACAAATAGGGGAACCTATAAATATATATTCTGGACGACATGGATATCAAAGCAAAAATTAGATCATAATAATTTTATATAGCATTAGTATTTGATAAGGCAAAGTTTTGAAATAAATTAAGAAAGTAGAGGAAATAATATATATTTAAAAGATCTGAATAAGTTAGTTGACAGTTTGAATTACTGAAAAAACATTAAAATATTAACTCAAAATGGAGGTTACATTCTATTTTAAACATCCATAAAGCACTTAAAAAACAAAGAGGACAATTTTACAAAGAAAACAAATTTCAAAAGGTAAAAAAAAATTGCTTGAATGAAAACAATCTAGTAACTGTTACAAAAATTTAAATAAAAAATCAAATACTTGGAAAATGGAAAATAGCTTCTAAAATAACCTTTAAATAGCACAGAAAAACAATACTGTGATTCCAGAATACGTAAAAGAAAAATTTAAAAATAAAAGACCTTTTATCACTCTGCCTGACTAAAGTTTATGAGATGTCACAACATCTGAATTCATCGTCAATTCTTTGCTTTACAACTTTTCTGTATTAAGAAATGTAAAAATCAATGAATAAAGCATTTAATTCAAGGATTTATTTTTAAAACTAAAACTTGTACACATCAGGAGCAAGGCAATGATTTTTAAAAACACACAGAATTTTAACAAAGAAACAGTTTGACTCTTTACAGAAGTCAAGTTTTCAAATGTTTAACACACAAAAGAGATATCACTGCATGTAGATTTTTAATGTGGTGAGTTAATATTTCAAGTCCAAAACATTGTGAAATGAGTCTTGATTTTGCCTATGTACCAAGAAAAAATTTATATTAGCGTTGTCAATGACAAAGAGATTATCCAATGTTAAACTTGTAAATGGATACAGAAAGCTGAAAATCAGTACACAGAAAGTGATATTTAGTTTACATATGTTATACACATGCACATATTCAAAACTATTGATCTCGAAGAACATGCACAAAACTCGATATTTGTTTTTCTTAAACTGAAAACAAGTTTATTAGAAAAATAAAGAAACAAAAGAATGGCTATGCCATAAGCAAAACAGCCAAAACTCAATATTTTGAGGGTTTCTATTTTCCTTAATATTTTATAATATTTTTCAAATTTTCTCTAACAATATATGCTATTTTATTATAACTTAATTTTATCAAAATATTTTATTTCCTAAAGTCCAAATTGTGAACTACTGATATTATCTTTTTTTTTCCTTTTTAGTTGCTTGTGTGCCTGTAAATTAAATTAACCAAAAGTAATTTGTAAAACACAAGTGAATATCCTTCACAAAAGGCATTGTGCTGGAATGCAAGTCTTCTAATGAGAATAGGCAGCATTGATTATTGTCACCTTAAATACTTTACAGCTACTCTCTGATCAAATTTGGAGTTATTATTTATCTTGTGCACTTAAGGAAAGAGAGTTTTAAATTTTAGGTAACATATTCTGGGTTGTATAGCTGAAAATGTAGCATATTTAGAATCTAACTCTTGGAAAACTTTATTTCAAAACAGTACTCCTAAAGACTCTGTTATAATTCTTCCCCATATAATAAATGAAATAACTTCTGAGACTGTTATCACTGTGCCCCAAATCGTTGTTTTCCATAATAAATTTACCTACAACTGAAGTATGCATAGGAATTTGTGTAATATAATTTTAAAGGACAACCATATTTTCTTATTTTCCACATCAGTTGCTTCTAAAAACATATATTTAGACTGTAAATATGACACACATATTATTATTTTTTGTTTTGTTTTGTTTTGTTCTGTTTTGTTTTGAGACGGAGTTTCGCTCTTGTTGCCCAGGCTGGAGTCCAATGGCACGATCTCGGCTCACTGCAACCTCTGCCTCCCAGATTGAAGCGATTCTCCTACCTCAGCCCCGCAAGTAGCTGGGATTACAGGCATGCACCACCACACCCAGCTAATTTTTTGTATTTTTACTACAGACCACATTTCATCATGGCTAGGCTGGTCTTGAACTTCTGACCTCATGTGATCCACCCACCTCGGCCTCCCAGAGTGCTGGGATTATAGGCATGAGCCACCGTGCCCGGCCAACACATATTATGATTTCTAATTACAATCTGGATTTCTGAAAACATACACCTTGAAATGTTCAAGATCACGTTTAGTCAAGCAAAGGTTAGCACAACAGAAATGCAAACATGAAGGATTCAATTGTTTTTATAGGGAGACCAAGGACATACCAAATAGAAAAGAAAGAAAAGATGAGTTTAAATGTTCAGCATTCCTGCTATTTTAATTACCTGGAGTCCTGTCTTCTCTGCATGACTCTAATGAGAGCATTTTTAACTTCTTTGTTTCTAAGACTATAAATGAGTGGATTCAGCATGGGAATCACAATAGTATAAAAAACAGAAGCCACTTGATCCCTTCCCAAAGAATAAGACTTTCTTGGTTTTAAATAAGTAAAAATCATAGTTCCATAAAAGATGGTGACTCCCAAGAGATGAGAGGCACAAGTAGACAAAGCTTTCTGCTTTCCTGAAGTGGAATTAATTTTCAGGATGGTAGAGAGAATGGACACATAGGATGCAGATATTGTGATAAGGGACACCATCAGGGTGGAACCAGCTAAAATGTGTATCATGATTTCAATGTCGTATGTGTCCATGCAGGACAGAGCTAAAATTGGAGACGTGTCGCAGAAAAAGTGACGAACTACATTTGAGTCGCAGAAATGCAGTCTGCTCATCCAAACCACATTGACAAAGGAGTTGATAAAGCTAATCACATAGGGCCCAGTGACAAGAGCGCAACACAGCCTTTTGGACATAATAACTGGGTAACGTAGAGGACTGCAGATAGCTACGTAGCGATCATAGGCCATTGATGAGAGAAGAAAACATTCAGCAGCTCCCAAGAAGACAAAAAAGAACATCTGGGCAAAGCAGCCCATGAAGGAAATATAGTTGGAAGTCAGTAAGTTCGCTAAGGTTTTAGGTGTGATGACAGTTGAGTAACTGAGGTCAATAAATGACAAGTGAGTAAGGAAAAAATACATGGGAGTGTGAAGCTGGAGGTCCAGGCGGATTATCAATATCATCCCCACATTGCCCAGCATAGTAATTAGGTATATCAGGAGAAATAGTATAAAGAGGGCCATCTGGACCTCTTCAGAATCTGACAGTCCCGTAAGGATGAAGTCAGGCACATTTGTGTTATTTCTTCTACCCATGATGTTCAATTGCTTTAAACTGCTGAGAAATCAAAGTTGATACTTAACATGAATGACTTCAAAAGGTTTCTGATTATACAATAACCTAGCATTTAATTCATTTAGTGTTTCTATAAATTGCTAATACATTTATAGAATGTGACCTTAAAACGGAATTATATTGCCAATGTAGATAAAAGTGTAAATTAACATTTAGATGTGATATAATAAAATGTAACATATTGCATAATTAGAATGAACCTGACCTTGTTCTGAATGCCTTCCTTTATTAATACATTTAATCCACAAGAAAATACTATGCCATAGATACTACTATTATCGACATATTTTAGCCGAGAAAAAAAGAGTATGGAAGGTTTGAGTAACTTATCCAAAGTCAGAACAATTAAATGTTGACGCTGATTCTGCCAACATATGTTGACTTCAGAGAGAAGGCTTATAATACTATACTCCTGTTTATAAATAATTTCAGAAAACCTGAGAAAGAGCTAAACATGTAATAAACAATGAGAGGAAACAGTTTTTAATAGATTATTTACTGCCCCTTTGTTTCTAATATTATTTAATGGTAATTTTAAATAAATTTCACACTTAAGGATTTTAGCAGGATACATTAAAATTATAGACCATATATAAGTATTAATTTATACAAATATGATGTTTTAGTAACTTAACCAATCAAAATCAAATTTCTTCCAAAAATTATATGATCAAAATATGTACTTTGCTTGTAGACTCTGATTCCATCAACTCTACATATCTCTTTTCACAAACCCGGACATTACTCAGGGTAAGGACTAGATGACATGTATATGTATATTCTTATGATAAAGTCCTGAATTAATTTCATCTGAAATAAAATCTTCCAATTTTGAGAATAATACTTACCGTGTCTGAGCCAAAGTTGGTGAAAAAGCTTTCTTCTCATATTATCTGTCTAGAAATTTGTCAACCTCAATTTTTCTTATAAATAAAATATGAAAACCATTTAAGGAGATAAAATTTTCTCCGATATAATATTTGTTTTCCTTGAGATAAGTTGTTTTTACATTTTTGTGCATTCATTTTGTTTTATTCTGTGTCAAAAAACCAACCTAGAAATTTCGTTTAGGTCCTGGTCAAATGGAAAGATTACCAGGAAGTTGTGTGTCAAAAGAACACTGGGAATCTCTGTGACTATAGGTAGATTATTCTTTACCTCTCACTCTGATAATTCCAGAGTACCTAATATATGAGGGGCTGATGATAATGCACCTTTTGGTAGTCCCTGTGGACCAATTTCCAATGAAGAATTGCTTGGTATGTTTCCAAGGATAAAGGTGCAAGGAATAAAACAGCCACGATAGATTTTGAGCAAAGGTTTTCCTTTTTACCTTACAAGCCACACAAATGAAGGAAATTATGGATTGGTCTTTTCTTGTGATGTTTTCAATATTTTACTGGGATGGTGGAGAAGCCATTTCCAGAAAAATAATTATTCTCTGACACCATCAAAGATGGAATAACACATTTTTTTCAATTAAAATTTTGTATATTTAAATGTATGATACTATCATAGAAGTAAACATGTTAATTAGAAAAGAATCGGCCGGGCGCGGTGGCTCACGCCTGTAATCCCAGCACTTTGGGAGGCGAAGGCGGGCGGATCACGAGGTCAGTAGATCGAGACCATACTGGCTAACACGGTGAAACCCCGTCTCTACTAAAAATACAAAAAATTAGCTGGGCACCGTGGCGGGCGCCTGTAGTCCCAGCTACTCAGGAGGCTGAGGCAGGAGAATGGCGTGAACCCTGGAGGCGGAGCTTGCAGTGAGCCGAGACAGTGCCACTGCAGTCCGGCCTGGGCAAAAGAGCGAGACTCTGTCTCAAAAAAAAAAAAAAAAAAAAAAAAAAGAATCAGAATATAACAAAATTCAAAAAAGAAAATGAAAATAATTCTAAACTGTTAACATTTTGTAAACAGTATAATTTTTACTAATTATTTTCTTTTGTGCACTTAATTCCTATATGTACATGTATGTATAGGTTGCATAATAATACTATATATTCAGTGTATTTTCATCATCTGATAACCAAAATTTTTTGCTATGCCATGAACTGTGTTATATTAACCTTTTATAAACCCTACAATTCTATGGTTCAGGTTTTGGCTAGTGCCCCGGGGATAACTTACTAAGTTAACTAACTGTTTACCAGCTGATAAGTAGACATTTTGAAGCATTACCAAAAAAGTGATGCAGGTGATTTATTCTGGTTTGGCAGTGTCACCTAATTCATCTACATGAAATATTTGTGCAATATGTTTTGCTATTTTCATGTACTTTTTAAATTTTTATGAAATAAAAGTGAGAGCAAAAGGACACAATCAGCCCTGAGACCAATAAACATTTTATAATGAATTTAGTTGCTTAAAACTTACTTCCTCCATATATAATCAGGTCAAATTTTTTCTTAAATATGGGTTAAAAGTATATAGAAATTGAGCTGAACTATTGTACAGAGAACTATTTGCCCAAGATGGGGAAGCAAAGGAAGAGTCTGGAAGAAAACACAGTGTGAATCAGGGTAAAATATTAATGTGGTTTTGTGTTAAGTAATGATAATAAAATCAATTTTCATGTAAATTTAAAAGTGAGTCTAGAAGGAAGCATGACCATAATCTAGAATTTCAGGAGATAATTTGTTGGTATGTATAAAGCGGCTACTTTTGTATGTATTTATTGTACATTTGATGAGTTTTTGGAAGAGCAATTCTGTTCATCAGAAATTTAGTGATCCTGAGACAGGCTAATGTGGAGATTAAAAAGCCAGAATCACACCCTTTGACAATAGGTATCATTAGGTTTTAAGCCAAATAAGAGGCAAAAAGTGACTTTTTACGTCAAGGCCACCTCAATAGACTTGGTGATTGCAAAGTTGCCATGAACAAGGGGTTTTCTTGCTCATGTTTTTTCTAACGTTAAAAACTATTTTGTTCAGGTTCAGAGTTGTTTATAATGGCAAGAAAATTATTTTACCATTTACTATGTCATGGCAAAAGCCTAATTCTGATCAGAGATTTTAAATCTCTCAATTTAAATGATATATAGTGTAATGCTCTAGGTAATTATATTTTATTTTTGTTATTATTTATTTATTTAGAGACAGAGTCTCGCTTTGTTGCCCAGGCTGGAGTGCAGTTGTGCTGTCTTGACTCATTGCAACGTCCACCTCCTGGGTTCAAGCGATCCTCCTGCCTCAGCCTCCCAAGTATCTGGGACTACAGGTGCTTGCTACCAGGCTGGGCTTATTTTTTGTAGAGACAGGGTCTCACTAAGTTGCAAAGGCTTGTCCCGAACTCCTGGGCTCAAGCGATGTTGCTGCCTTGGCCTCTCAAAGTTCTGGGATTACAGGTGTGAACCACTGTGCCTGGCCTTAAGTCATTATGTTTTAAACCATGTTACTTATGCCCCTTCTATTCTCTCTCTCTCAATCTCTCTCTCTCTTCTGGATTATGTTTACTATTGTTTTCTTTGTCTTTCATCTTTGACTCAATAAAAAAAATGAACTTTTTTTGATAAATTTTGTTCAAATACTTACTAACTTGCTTATTCGTTAGTTATTTTAGTTATTTGTGTTTTATTATTTTATTTCCCCTACTTTATCAGGTTGCATACTTTGACTAGGTAATGAAAATACCTAGTAAAAGTATTTTCTTATGGTTACCTGTTTAATAATACCAGAATTTAATATTTGCATTATTCATCTGGGTGTCACTTTTCACTTATATAGATGATCTGAATTATTCCTATTGTGGCATATTATGAAAATAGTGTAAAGTTAATTTTTTATTTCTTATTTGACTAAGATTAACCTCAGTTATGCTTAGTCATTAAGTTATTAAAATCTTAATAAAATTATAATTCTAATTTTTTAAAATTTTGAGTTAAAATTATTTTTATCTTACAAATATTGATTGATTGATTTTTATTTATTTATTTTTAGAGATGGAGTGTCACTCTATTGCCCAGGCTGAAGTGCAGTGGTATGATCTTGGCTCACTGCAGCGTCTGCCTCTGGGTTCAAGCGATTCTTCTGCTTCAGCCTCCCTAATAGCTAGGACTACAGGTGTGTGCCACCACATCTGGGTACTTTTTATATATTTTTGGTAGAGACTGGTTTTCACAATGTTGGCCAGACCGGTACTGATAAAACTTTTTCAATGGTTATCTTCTAAAAACACCTGGGAGAGTTCATTAAATCAGGTTTAAGTCTCTTTTCAAGGAAAGCACCACCTCTCCCACCCCACACACATGAACAATACACACACATTTTCTTCCTTTAATGCTATAGAATTAACAAAGTTTTTCCGTTTGATTTGGAGATGCAAGAGTCTCTGTATATATCCAAAATATTCTAGGAATTATGCTACCACCAATGAGACATCTATAGTTAATGATAAATTAAACTCTCCTTTTTTTATAGAAAATATATGCCATAAACAGAGCACTTTTCTATGTAATCTAAAATTGTGTTCATACATATATGATGAAGAACTCATCTGTTAGGGGCAAATGACTCCATAGTATCAAGAGATTTCTCTATACTGCCTGGTATCTGTTGTTCCATTAGTGATGGCACTGAAATTATTTCAATCTTTCATTTTTCATTGTGGCTAATATTTGCTTTGTTATTTTTATTTTTTGTTTGTTTGTTTAGTTCTGTACTCTTTGCTTTCAGGTGATCAGCTGTCATTTAATATTTTTAGTAAAATGTAACTGTTCTTATTCCTTCATCTTCCATTTTTCTACTCTCAAGTTGCCAATAGCTGAGAAAACAGAATGTCAAATTATATTGTCAATTTAATTTTTTTTTTTAGTTTTTAAAACATTTTTTAGTTTTTTATGGGTCCATAGTAAATGTGTATATTTATGGGGTACATGCGATGTTCTGATACAGGCATGCAATGTGAAATAAGCACATCTTGGAAAATGGTTTATCCGTCTTCCAAGCCTTTATCCATTGAGTTATTATGTTGGTGCAAAAGTAATGGCGGCTTTTGCCGTTTGTTTTATGTTTGTTTTGTTTTGTTTTAATAACAAAAACTGCCATTACTTTTGCACCAGTCTAATACAAACAATGCAGTTACGTGATATAAGCCAGGCACAGAATGACAAAAATTGCATGTTCTCAATGTAATAATTTTGAACCTGTTTCAGTGTGATGGCATACTCACATATGAATGTTCGGATGCCTCTTATTTCCTTGTACATGTCTATGTCTGAATAATTTATATTCTGAATTGACCTCCAAATACAGGGTGTTAGTGGTCCATATAATGAAATAATAATTAAACTTACAAACTGCAAGTCTCTAAGTTCTCATTTAGTTTGTGTTATGCTTTTTGATGTTACTCTGCTATTTTCCTAGTTGTTGGCATAATTGAATTACTGAAGCCATCCACGTTTGTTTTAATTATAACATACATAAATTTGTCATGGAAAAAGTTTTCTATGTATGACTCTCAAAGAGCATTTTTTACATCTTTGTTCCTCAGACTCTAGATGAGTGGATTCAGCATGGGAATGACAGTCATATAGAATACAAATGCCAACTGTGCGTGGATCAGGGATGATGTTTTATCCAGTTGCAAATAGGTGAAAATCAGGGACCCATAGAAGATAGTTAACCCATGAGGTGGAATGCGCAGGTGGAGAAGGCCTTCTGCCATCCTGCTGCCCACTGGTTCTTCAGGATGGCTGAGGTGATGGCGATATAAGTGACTGTGATGATAAGGATAGAGCCAAGAAGAGTGAATCCAGCTAAGGCAAAGCTCACCATTTCTGTGCTGAATGCATCTACACAGGACAGTGCTAAAAGAGCTGTGGTGTCACAGAAAAAAAAGATTGATGCTGGAATCACAGAACAAAACCACTTATCACACAGACAGATACCAGAGAATTTGTGAAACCTATCGTGTATGACATTACTCCCAGCCAGTTGCACGCTTTCTAAGAAATGACTACTGAATGAGGGATTCCAGATTGCTACATAGCAATCATAGGCCATTGATCCCAGCAGGAAACACTCAGTACACACCAATCCAACAGAAAAGTACATTTGAACAAAGCAGCCAACAAAGGAGATGGATCTCTGATTGGATTGGAAATTCGCCAATGTCTTAGGTGTTACGGAAGAGGAGTAAAATATGTCAATGAATGCTAAATTGCTGAGGAAAAAGTACATAGGGGTGTGAAGCTGAGAATCCATTCTGATTAACATGATCAGTCCCAGGTTTCCCAAAATAGTGAATAGATAAATGAAGAGAAACATCAAGAAAAAACTGACTTGTAATTCAGGGTGATTTGCATATCCAGAGAGGATGAAGACAGTCACCTCAGTGAAATTGCTGCCAGCTGTTTATATCAACTCAGGCCTTTGACTTACCTGCTCAATAACAATAAGGAAAGTTAGAGAAGGATTCAAATCTAAAGGCCCTATAATCAAATTTGACTCAGACTTCAACAATGAAAGAGTTACAAATGGAAAGGAAAATTTAGTGATTTCAAGTTAGGGATTTATGCATAATTTTTATTTTTTACAAATTGACAGACATTAATTAAAACAAAGTTCACAATTTTGTGGACTAAAAAACATGTGTCTGGAAGGATGTCTAGGACGAAAGATTCCTCCTGAGATGTACCATTCTCTGCCCCAGTCTAACATCGGGTCTTGCAATTTAATGAAAATAACTGTATCTAATGAATATTCTAATTTATCTAATGAAATTAATTTTATCTAATGAATACAGTAATTTATCTAATGAAATTAATTTTAGCTAACAAATATAGCAATTTAATGAAATTAATTGGTGATTTATCTAATGAAATTAATTGTATGATACTCAGCAATTTATCTAATGAAATTAATTATATGATACTCTTAGAAAAAATAAAAAACCCATTTAGAAAAGGAAGTTCTACAATTTGTGAACTTAGTAATTCCTTTTTGTTGCAGTCTTATTTTCTTAACATCTAACTACTTCACAGGATTATTTTAGGAGCTTAATAAAATCTTAGGCGGACATAGCTAATATTTCCTTGGACTCTGTAAAGCTTTTTAGATTTTGTTAAGAAAAAAATAGAAAAGACAAAACTAGACACATCCCGCTCACTTGACATGTTAATGCTAAAACTTCTTATACCTTTTTCTCCTATCATGTATTCTTTCTGTCTTTGGGTGAGGTGAGACCAAATGTCTTGCTCGTCATGAAGGGCATTTTTCTTAAAGCCTCATGGAAGACGCAGACATTAAAAAATAAAAAGTTTCTCAATGTGAGAAACATGCAAATAATACTCACAGGCTGGCAGACATGCAAATTTTAGGGGAAAAAAAGGTAATAAAATTAGATATGCCTGGGATTCAATAATCCAAACGAAACATCCTTTTTTTCAGTTATCTTCCATTTATTTTCAGGTTTGTTATATTTGCCTCATCTATAATTCTGAATCCCATGAATTGTCAACATAATGACTTGGATCTGTTGTTGTTGTTACTGTAGTTATTTAGCACAGAGCTCTATTTCCTATATAATGGACCCTAAATATTATGATGTTGATGAAAAATATTGGTGGTTTTGATGATAATGCTGGGTATTATATATATTATCTTCCATTGATAAGATAGAAATAAGAGCCAAATTAACTTGTTAACTTGTTTTTGTGTGCATTCTTGAGAATTGAAAGTTTATATTTTTTGTTCACGTCTAGATTCTTATTTAGAATTAGTTTTGATCTTAGCGTATTTCTAAAGCAATCCCATGACAAAATATTTTCTTCTGAAATCTCATACGTTAAGCAGTATTCTTATACCTGCAACTCTTCCTCAAACACTTAAACTCACCTAATAAAGAGGTTAGACAATTATCATCTTTAATCTCTTGAGATTCCTATCTTAATTGTACTCGAGGATCTCTTCTTAATTTGTCTGGGGTATGTCTCCAATAGAAGTCTTTGGAAATGTATAATATTTATTTTTGTGTATTCAGTTAAATAACAGCAGATATTATTTAAAAATTCAATTGATGTAGCTTTAAAAATCATGCTATTTACATGTTATTGGTAGATGTATACATGAAACATTTATGAAAAATTAAATCATTATGAAAATAAAGGTGACATATGATGTTAGGGTATCTCAGATAACCACTGTTTCCCAGATAACCCTCTTATGCAACAGAAGTAAGCTTTCCTACTCATTGACTTAATACTGTTAATATGTGTTGAAATTACATTACCATCCATGTCAACAATCATAGATGTGTTTACTTTTAACTCAGGCAGTTATTTTTAATTGTGCTTAATGGTATATACATAATATCATTGGCTGATAATAAGTATGCCATCTAAGAAAATGAACAAGAAACCTACGGTACAAATCAAACTCATGCTTTCCATTTAATGATCAATTTATGAGTAAATACAATATTTCTCACAATTGTATTCACATTATTATCATTTATTTTTGTTTGTTTGTTTCAGAGCAGCTTCCTAGCCTATGCTACTATACAGATTCTGGTTTATTAGGTTTGGTATTGACCCATAAAATTAAATTTTTTAAAATGCCCCACGTTACATGGATTATACTTGGGCAAACACTAGCTTGGAAGGATCTCTCAGACTTGTCTAATTAAATTATTTTCTGCTGTGATTGTTACATTCTCCTTATTTCTTGTTTTTAAAGGGGGGCTTACTTTTAATTGACAAGTAATAACTGTTTATATTTATGGAGTACATAGTGGTGTTCCAAAACATAATGTGTAGTGACCAGGTTATACATATCTATCATCTCAAACATTCATCATTTCTTTGTGTTGGGAATATTCAGTATCCTCCATCTAGCTGTTTGAACCTACATAATATGATATTGTTAACTGTAGTCATTGTACGGTAGTACAGAACAATAGAACACATTCCTCTTCTCAAGCTGTAATTTTGCATCCTTTAACAAATCTCTTCTTACTGTTACATAATGAAACAAGACAGATATTTTCATGGGGAAAAGAAAATACATTTTTCCTAGCAACAGAAACCATCTCTAATGTTACCTGTCACATTAGAGGTTTTAAAAAAGTAATAAAATCTATTATAGATGTGCCTTATCACTCACTGATAATATTATCAGATATTAGGACAAAATAAATGGTATACAGTAGTCCCCCATTTTTTGTGGTTTTACTTTCTGTTGTTTCAGTTACCCTTGGTCAACGAGTCTAAAAATGTTAAATGGAAAATTCCAGGAATAGACAAATTAGAGGTTTTTAAATTGTGCATTTCTGAGTATTGTTATAATGGTTCCATTTTATTAGTGGTTATTGTTAATCTTTTACTGTGTCTAATTTACAAATTAATCTTTATCACAAGTATGTATGTATAGAAAAAAGTATATATCAAGTTTGGTAGTATCTGAAATTTCAGGTATCCACTGGGGTTGTAGATTCTTTGAGGATAAGGAGAGACTGCAGTAATTTTTCCCCCAATAAGTGTGCAATTTGATAAAATTATACTTTGAAAGAATTGGGCTGTACCCCTTCAATATTAACTTTTCATCTACTCTTACTTATTTGTTCAACACAAATTGATTAAACAGCTATTAGACAGCAGGCACTATGCTTTTTGTGGGACTTCAACTATGAAAATGATATCATTTCTCCTTTCACACTACCTAGAGTTAATTGTCTCTTTCAAGATTCAAATTTTGTCTCAGCTATTTAATATTCCGATATTTGGTGAACTAATATGTATAGTGTTCACAAATACACAATTGCTATAGGGGCTATTGTTGACCATGTTACAGGACAAATAGACATTTAATAACTACTTGATTAACTGAATTTACATCTTCCTGCACATCTATTTTGATTTCTGTCAATCAAATCTTTTTAACTTTTCATTAACTATTTTAGCTTTACTAATGTTAACTTAATCATAGGGTGAATATTAATACTTAAGAAATGTATGGTGATAAAACAGTATTAGCTAAACTACAGACTTACTAAATTTCACCAAGTTTTCCACTGAAGTCCTATTTTCTCTTCCAGGATCCAATCCAGGATGCCAGGTTGTGGTTAGTGTCATGTCTCCTTAGTCTATCGGAGTCTGTTCCTGTTCAATATTCTTTTCTTTTCTTCATGACTGTGATACTTTTTTAGTACCTGTCAAGTATTTTATAGGTTATCCTTCAATTAAAACTTGCCTGATGTTTTCTACTGATTAAATTGAGGTTTTTCATAATTGGGAATAGTTCCAGAGAGGCAATCTGTATACCATTTTCCATTTTATCACAGGGTATATGTGTTGATAGGTGATATTATTAGTGATATTAAACTTGATCATTTAAAGTAGTGTGTGCTGGACTTTTTTTACTGTAGAAGTATAATTCTATCTTTGTATTTATTAAATATTTATTGGGGGAAAGCTAATTTAGACTATGTAAATATTTCATGACTACTTTTTACTATTCATCAATGTTTGTTGCTTGTAACAATTATTACTGTATAATTTTGGTAAAATTTACTATTTTCCTTACTCTTTCTATATATTGGAATTATTCTGTAAGGAAGAGTTGTTATTTCTCCCCTATATGTTTATTTATTCAGCCTTCTATTTAAATCAATATGCACTCATAATTATTTTACTCTTTATGTTATTATCTCATACTGACATCATTTATTCTGTTGTTCAAATCGTTCTAGCTTTGCTAATAGAATCACCATCAAATTGGCTCCTGGGCTCTTTGCTCTTTGAACATGTCCCTGTCTTTTAAAATTCTTTTTGTCACTGTTGTTTTGTTTTTACTTCTTACACTCTAGCAGCACAAAGTGCTCCAGGTCATCTTGTATTTTCCTGGACTCAGCTCTAAAATTAACCACTGCTCCAAGGAGTCTTGCTTTTATGAGACTACGGCATTTAGAAAACAGGATCTGAACAATATTATACTATTATATGTGTACTTATATATTTTCCCTTTAATTAGGATTCACACATATTTTGAATACTTTTACATTCTCAACATTTTGCAATTATAACTTTTCAAGTAAAGACTTTATGCTATGGTAAAAAATCTTTGTATTTGGAAACCATAATTCTGAATTTGTATCTAGAAACATCATATAATTACTTTGTGACCATGTGAAAGTTTCTTAAGCTCTCATATCGTCAGTGTCCATGTTTGCAAAGTGACAATACTAGAACCTGCCTCATGTGTTTGTGAATATTCAATTAAATATTATATATGAAGCACTTAAAATTATGTTGAGGATATGATAGGTATTTAATAAATATCTATCCTATGTTGGTAATACGAGTGACTTTATAATAATCTATTCTATTTATACAACCCCATTTATTAAACTATTTTCTCTACCGTTGGGTATCTCCATTAATCATAGTTTTAACATGTTTTTTGTTTTTTGAGATGGAGTCTTGCTATGTCACCCAGGCTGGAGTACAGTGGCGCGATCTCGGCTCACTGCACCCTCTGCCTCCCAGGTTCCAGCAATTCTCCTGCCTCAGCCTCCTGGGTAGCTGGGATTACTGGCGCCAGCCATCACGACTGGCTAATTTTTGTATTTTTAGTAGAGACGGGGTTTCACCAGGTTGGCCAGGATGGTGTCGCTCTCTTGACCTGGTGATCCGCCAGCCTCGGCCTCCCAAAGTGCTGGGATTACAGGCATGAGCCACTACACCCGGCCTATTTTTACAGTTTTTAACTTTTATTTTAGGTTAAGAGGTGTATGTGCAGGTTTGCTGTATAGATAAATTGCATGCCACTGGGGTTGTGTACAGACTGTTTTGTCACCCAGGTAATAAGTATAGCACCTGATTGCTACATTTTCATTCCTCACCCTTCTTCCACCCTCCTAATCTCAAGTATTCCTGTGTCTGTTTTTCCCTTCTTTGTGTCCACATGTACTCAGTGTTTAGCTTCCACTTATAAGTGAGACCATGCAGTATTTGGTTTTCTATTCCTGTAATAATTTACTTTGGATAACGCCCTCTAGCTCCATCCATATTGCTGCAAAGGACATAATATCATTCTTTTTAATGGCTGTGTAGTATTTCATGGTGTGTATGTACCAGATTTTCTTTATGCAGTCTAGCATTGATGGGCATTTAGGTTGATTCCATGTCTTTGCTATTGTACATAGTGGTGCAGTGAATATATATATGCACACATATGCCTTTATGGTAGAAAGATTTATATCCCTTTGGGCATATACTCAATAGTGGGATTGCTGAGTTGAATGGGGAGTATTTAAAGTTTTTTTCAGAAATCGCCAAACTCCTTTCAACAATGGCTGCACTAATTCACTTTGCTACAAGCAGTATATAAGCATTCCTTTTCCTCCACAATCTCACTGAAATTTGTTAATTATTGACTTTTAAATAATAGCCATGCTAACTGGTGTGAGATGGTATCTTCTTGTGGTTTTGATTTGCATTTCTCTAATGATGAGTGATGTTGAGCGTTTTTTATATGTTTGTTAGCCATGTGTATGTCTTCTTTGAAAAGTGCCTGGTCATGTCTTTTGACCACTTTATAATTGGGTTATTTGGTTTTTGCTTCAAAATGTATTTAAGTTCCTTATAGACTCTGGATATTGACCTTTGTTGGTTGCATAGTTTGTAAATATTTTCTCCCATTCTGTTGCAGGTTGTCTGGTTACTCTGCTGAAAGTTTCCTTTGCTGTGCAGAGCTCTTCAGTTTAATTAGGCCACATTTGTCAATTTTTGTTTTTGTTGCTCTTGGCATCTTCATCATAAAATCTCAGTTTGGACGTTGTTGATGTATAGAAATACCACAATTATTATAAATTTGTTTTGTACCCTGAAACTTTGCTGAAGTTGTTTATCAAATCTAGGAGTTTTGGGGTGGAGACTATGGAATATTCTAGGTATAAAATTATATCATCTGCAAACATAGATACTTTGACTTCCTTTCTTCCCATTTGGATCTCTGTCATTTCTTTCTCTGCCCTGATTTCTCTGGCTAGGACTTCCAGTACTAGTTGAATAGGAGTAACGAGAGTGGGCATCCTTGTCCACTTCCAGTTCTCAGGGTGAATGCTTCCAGTTTTTATCCATTCAGTATGATGCTGGTGTGAGATTTTCATCGATGGCTTATTATTCTGAGGTGTGTTCCTTCAATGCTTAGTTTGTTGAGGATTTTTTAACATGAAGCGATGCGAATTTATCAAAAGTCTTTTCTGGATCTATTGAGATGATTATGTTTTTTAAAAAATTTTTGCCTATGTGATGAATCACATTTACTTATTTGCATATGTTGAACCACGTTGCTTTTTAGGGATAAAACCTACTCAATCATGGGAATTAGCACTTTGATGTGCTGCTGGATCCAGTTTGCCAGTATTGAGAATTTTTCGTCTACTTTCATCAAAGCTATTGGCCTAAAATTTGTGTGTGTGTGTATCTCTGCCAGGTTTTGAGATCAGAATAATGCTGATCTCATAAAATAAGCTAGAAAGAAGTTTCTCCTATTTATTTATTTACTTATTTATGGAATGATTTCAGTAGAAATGGTACCAGTTCTTCTTTATATGTCTGGTAGAATTTAGCTGTGAGTTTGTCTGTTCCTGGGCTTTTCCAGATTTTTTATTACTGATTCAATTCCTGAACTCATTACTGGTCTCTTCTGGATTTCAATTTCTTCCTGTGTCAATCTTGAGAGGTTGTATGTTTCCAGGAATTTATCAATTTTTTCTAGGTTTTCTAGTTTGTGTGCATATTAGATGACTTTAATAGTCTCTGAAAGTTTTTTGTATTTCCGTGGGGTCATTGCCAATGTCCACTTTGTCATTTCGATTGTGTTTATTTAAATCTTCTCTCTTTTTTCTGTATTAGTCTATCTGGTGAACTATCTTGTCCATTCTTTTAAATAACTAACTTCTGGATTTGTTGATCTTTTGTATGGCTTTTCACATCTCAATTTAATTCAGTTTAGACCTGATTTTGGTTATTATTTGTCTTCTGTTAGTTTTGAGGTTGGTTTGCTTTTGTTTTTCTAGTTCCTCAAAGTGTGATGTTAGATTGTTAATTTGAGATATTTCTAACTTTTTGATTTGCGTGTTTAGAACAAGAAACTTTCCTCTTAACAGTACTTTAGCTGTTTCCCAGATATTCTGATATGTTGTATCTTTGTTCTCATTAGTTTTAATGAATTTCTTGACTTCTCCCTTAATTTCATTGTTTGCCCAGAATTCAAACAGGAGCAGATTATTTAATTTCCATGTAATTATATGGTTTTGAGTGATCTTCTTAGTATTGATTTCAATTTGTATGGTGCAGTGGTCCAAGAGTATGCCTGCTATAATTTCAGTTTTTTTTTAATTTGCTTAGAGTTGTTTTTATGGCAAATTATGTGGTCAATTTAGGAGTATGTGCCGTATGCAGATGATAAGATATATTCTATTTTGGTGGAGTGGAGCATTCTGTAGATGCCTGTTAGGTCCATTTGGCCAAGTATCTAGTTCATGTTCCAAATCTCTTTATAAGTTTTATGCCTCAGTGATGTCATATTGTTAGTGAAGTGTTGGACTCTCCCACTATTATTGTAGGGTTATCTAATTCTCTTTGTAGGTCTCTAAGAACATGTTTTATGGATCTGGATGCTCCTGCATTGAGTACATATATATTTAGAATAGTTAAGTCTTCTTGTTGAACTGAACCCATATTTAGCACTCCCTAAAGGACCACATAATGCCCTTCTTTGTCTTTTTTTAATGGTTGTTGGTTTACAGTCTTTGGTCTGATATTAGAATAGCAATTTTGTTTTGTCTTGTTTTCCATTTGCTCGGTAGATTTTTCTCCGTCCCTTTACTTTGAACCTATGGGTGTCATTGCACGAGAGATAGGTCTCCTGAGCACAGCATACAGTTGGGTCTTGCTTCTTTATGCAACTTGCCACTCTATGCCTTCTAATTGGGTCTTTAGTTCATTTACATTGGAGGTTAATATTGATAGGTGAAAATTTGATATGTCCCATTATCATGCCGTTATCTGGTTATTAAGCAGATTTGATTGTGTAGTTGCTTTACAATGTCGATCAATGGTCTATGTACTTAAGTGTGTTTATGTGGTGGCCAGTAAGTCTTTCATTTCTGTGTTTAACACTCCCTCAAGGACTTCTTGTAAGGATGGCATGGTGGTAATAAATTATCTTAACATTGGCTCATCTGAGAAGATCTTACTTGTCTTTTGCTTATGAAGCCCAGTTTGGCTGAATATGAAATTCTTGGATGGAGTTTCTTTTAAGAACACTAAAAAGAGGCCCTCAGTCTCTTCTGGCTTGTATAGTTTCTGCTGACAGGTCTGCCTTTAGCCTTATGGGGTTCCCACTGTAGGTGGCCTGCCCCTTCTCTCTAGCTTCCTTTAATATTATTTTCTTCCATGTCAACTTTGGAGAATTGACTATGTGTCTCAAGGATGGTTGTTTTGCATAATATCCAGCATGAGTTCTCTGCAATTCCTGAATTTAAATGTTGACCTCTTTAGTGACATTGGTGATATTTTCTTGGGTAATATCCTCAAATATGTATTCCAAGTTCCTTGCTTTCTCTCCCTCTCTTTCAGGGACACTAATGAGCCATACATTTGCTCACTTTACATAATCCCATATTTCTCAAAGGCTTTGTTCATTCTTCTTTATTATTTATTTTGTTTGATGGAGTTATTTTGGAGATCCATTTTTTGAGCTCTGAGGTTTTTTCCTCAGCTTGGTTGATTCCATGTTAATACTTGTATTATAAAATTATTGAAGTGAGTTTTTCAGCTCTATCAGACACATTTGCTTCTTTCTTAAAATGGCTATTTCCTCTTTACTCTCCTGTATTGTTTTATTATATTCCCTAGATTCCTTGGATTGAGTTTGGGCTTTCTCCAGAATCTCAATGATCTTCATTCCTATCCATACTCTGAATTCCATGAGTGACATTTCAGTTATTTCTTCCTGATTAAGAATCATTGCTGGGAAACTAGCGTGGTCTTTTGGAGGTAAGAAGACACTCTTTTTTTTTTTTTTTAGACAGAATGTCCCTCTGTTACCCAGGCTGGAGTGCAATGGCACAATTTCAGCTCTCTGCAACCTTGCCTCCCAGGTTCATGTGATTCTCCTTCCTCAGCCTTCTGAGTAGCTTGGATCATATGCACCTGCCACCATGCCCAGCTAATTTTTGTAGTTTTAGTAGAGATGAGGTATCGCCATGTTTGCCATGCTGGTCTCAAACTCCTGGCCTCAGGTGATCCACCTGCCTCAGCCTCCCAAAGTGCTAGAATTACAGATGTAAGCCATTGTGCCCAGCCCATTCTGGCTTTTTGAGTTGCCAGAGTTCTTTTCTGGTTCTTTTTCACCTATGTGGCCTGATGTTCCTTTAATCTTTGAAGTTACTGTCCTTTGCACTTTTGTTTTCTTTTTAATCATCTTTGATACCCTGGGATGTTTGATTTTCTTATGAGTTCAGTCAACTGGCTCTGACTCTGGAAGATGAGCTCAGCTCATCGCTCCTAGGCTGTGTGCTGTAATTGTGAGGGTTTGTATTGTGCCACTGACTTTGTTCTCTGACTCCTTTAGGTTAGAAACCTGCTGTGCTCAAGGGGTCAAGGTGTTTCCAGTCCACTGGCCCCAATACTGTGATGAGGGGTGCCAGCCAAAGCACTTTGTAAAGGTGGTGGCTTGTGATCCATGCTCACATATGTTTACCAGCAGCTGCAGTGTAATGGTGTGGTGCCCATGCATTGGAAGGGTAGTGATGGATTCACTGGCATCTACACACACATTTGTGTTGGTGGCATTGGTGGTGGCAATGGTTTAGTGCAGGTTGGGGAGATGGTTCCAGTGTCTGTACACACACTTGCACTGGCTACCTTAGTGATAACATGGCTGGCTGCCAGTGCCTCAGTGGGGGCAGCATGCCACCAGGGGTGGGTAGGATAGTGGGGTATTCTCATGCTGGCAGTATGATGGTGGGGTACGTGTGCACATATGCACTATCAGAGGAGGGGAGACAGATCCGCCCATATGCACATGCTAGTCAAGTTGTGGTGGGACTTCCATGTGGGGGGCGGGTGTTAGCAAAGCAGCAGGGGATGGTTGTGTATGGGCTGCTCATGTTGGCTTGGTCCAGTCTGCTAGACCTCTTCATTAGTTATGTGTGGCCTACCAGCAGAGCAGCTATGATGAGGGCCCCCAGAAAGCACTCTGATTGGATATTGGAGGCTGTGCTACAAGTAGGGACAGCCAGGCTGGAGCCACAGGAAAAGCTGGGAAACAGGGGAGCACTCAGATGAGACTGTCCCCATCACACAGACAAGATCACCCTGTTCTGTCCAGGTCTGTAAGTCTCCTAAAGGCTGAAGCCTCCTAGAGGAGCTTGGTGATCCTTGGGGAATGGGTATCCCTGGCCATGCTCCACTGAAGCTGTTCCTGCACCAAACCCTCTGTGCTCTGTAAAATCTGGAGTCCTGCCCCCATTACTTTTCTAAGCAGCAATTCCTGCCAGCTCAAGTGTCCATGGGGGATCATTGGTTCTCCTGCAACTAGGATTCTGGAGGCCCATGGATAAAGCAGGTTATTCTTTGTCTGTTTGACTCACCCATTCGCCAGGAGTGAGTGGGGTCCAGGAGTGGGTCCCAGTGCTCGGCAGGCCTGTGTAGGGTTCTCGACTTTCTACCCCTTTAGCCCAGTGTCTGCACTTTCTCTTTGTCTACTTTCAATGCCTTCTCTCTGAAGATCCATTCAGAGTGTGCCAGTCTTCCCAATGTCTCAGGAACTGGGAAATGTTATTTCTGGCTGTGTCCACTCGACCATCTAGGCTCCCCCTCTATATTGATATTTTAAATACCCTGTTTACCTCTTTTGCTACCAAAAAGTTGACTATTATATGTCTCTGTGAGAATCTTTTGTGTTTATCAAATTTGTTTGGTTTAGTCTCCTATATCTGCATATCACTGATATGTCTCTAATTGCAGGAGTTTTTGAAATATTTTTATTCTTTTCTCCTTAACTTCTGTTGCTACTCCAACTGACTCTATTGATAAACATAATAGTAGTACTGCAAGTGTCCAAGGATGTCTTGATTTTTTGGTGACCTTTCTTCTATTTTATTTAGAATGGATATTGTCTATTTACCTCTTTTTAAGTTGGTTGATTCTTCACCCTGCCTCTCAATCTTCTGTTGCATCTAACAAGTAAATTTTTCATTTCAGTTATTTTGTTTCTTAACTCCAGATTTTCTATTTGATTCTTTCAGAAAAAAAAAAATGCTTTTTTGATTTTCTCCTTTGGTAAGTCAATCATTTTCTACAGTACTTTTTTTTCTGAAAATTCTAACGCGTAGAACTGTCAAAAAACAAACTTTTGTTCTTTATAAATTGTCCACTCTTAGGTATTCTGTTATAGAAGCAAAAATGGACTCAAACAAATGCTCAGGCAGCTTACAGTTCTGCCAAAGGCTTCACTTTCTCCTTTTGCAGAGCCTCAAGTCAGGCATGGTTTCAGCCTCTAGGTTTGACACCTGAATATCTGTATTTTATGAACCTCTACCAATTGCATATTATACACTGAACCATGAGGATAAATTTTCTTAATATATTACTTCCATACTCAACTCTCAAATCTATTTTTAATGGATTCAAATTCTTTATTGATATTCATTTTTTGTGGATTTATTTTCTCAAGTACTGTAAACATTTTTCCAATTCTTTGAAATACTAGTTATGGTTTCTTTGAAATATGAGTCGGCTAAATCCAACATCTATGTCCAGTCACAGGCGGTGCTTATAGACTACCTATCAATCATATCCAAGTATAGGTCATTATTTCCTCTTTCTGTTTTTAATGACTCAGATTTGTACTGAGAACTGGAAATTTTGTAATATATTTTAGCACCTCCAAAATTTGATTTTATTTATTTTTTTCCCTCTATGATTCTCTGTTGCTGTGTGTGTTTTTGTTTCTTTGTTATAAAATACCTTGTTTAGAATTAATATGCAGAATTTGGCCACTAATTTATCTGCTCAGCATTTCCTTTGCATTATTAACTTTTAGCTTGACTTTCTAAGAGTTACCTCTTTGTCTTCTAGGTTAGTGGTCAAAGTTGTTCTAAAAATTTTTATTTCATAAGGCTTGCACCCTCTGCTGCTGACATGTGCCTGATTTGGGGAGCACATTAAACTGTATTAGTGTTCAAGTATACCCCAGCATTTACTTTCCTCTTGAGTACTCTCAAGTCTCCATTATGTGGGTATTTAGGTTGTCAGACAGCTGGTGATGTGTAGGATATTGGAGTTTTTATCAAATCCCTCAGTTGGCATCTCCTTTCTAGGAACTTTAAATTTCAGGCTAGTCCTCCCTGCTGCTACTTACCCCAACTATAATCATAACCTGAGGTTAAAAGAGTTGCGTTCACTACTGTGCATGGATTTTCTACCATTTACTCCAAATCTAATTACCCCCTACCCCTGCCTTTAACGTGGAAGTTGCTGGTTTTTGTGGATAGGCTTGCTCTGGACAAAAAATAAACAAGGTAAAATTATCAGACATGTATCATAGTTATATAATTATATATGATATAATGCAGGTATATAATGCAGAAAGAAACACAAATGTTACAATATTGATATATCACAAATAAAAAGTGACTTAAATACAGCAATGAAATTATAACAATAACATATATGCATGGTAAATACACACACATACACAAATTGTATGTGTTCACAGGATGACATTAGTAATATAGGACACACATATTAATAAAACATCAAGTTTTTGTCAAGACAGAAAAGAAAAATTTAGTTGAGGGTTAAACAGAATAAAAAAATGAAATGCTGCAATATGTAATAAAGAAAAAAACCAAAATCTAAATAATTTGTAAACAGAGACCTGATGGTAAGTCACAATAAAATAAATATTAAGATAATTTATTAATACTAATAAATTTACTGTGTTCTAAGTACTATTTTTATTTTTTATTTTTATAGGTACATAGTAGGGGTAATTATATCCATTTTTTATTTGAAGAATAAACAAAATTAAAATTAAATAATTTTATCCCTGATGAAATAAAAAGGAACAACATAAATGAGTAAAAAAGCAACACCTCTCCTTTGTGCATTATTTTATTCCATGTAAAATTCTTAAGTAAAGTAATAGGACAACGTTGAAAACCATCTCCACTCTGTCACCTTTTTGAGGAAACCACTGTGTATATACCACCTGCCGTGTATATACAATATTTTTTCTGTGAGCCTGCACTATAGATACAATATTTTAATCAAGAGTCCTCTGTGGTACAAATGCAAATTTAAGCAAGTGTAAAAAATAGGTAACAAACAAGTAAATTTAAAAAAACACTTCTTGGCCTGCTATTAGGCCTTAGAAACTGAAGTCTTGACTATCTTGACACATCATAAACTGCACGATTTCTGACTCACTCAGCCATAAAGTTGGACATACACAGTCCATTTTCCCTTCTTCATAATTTTACAAATAGATTTGTTCTCACTGCAGCTCTTAGCAACCTTAGCATAGGATTTTTTTTTTCTTTCATCTTTACACTGAAAGAAAGGAAGCACTTTATGCCTTCTCTTTGACATATCTGAATTGCCAGCATCATAACTCTTGCAGTATGGGACATCATTAAGTAAAATAACGGTTATGTAACACAGTTACTGCAATACTGTGACAGTCATCTGATAACCAAGATGGCTACTAAGTGGAACAGACAAGGAAAATATACACTGTGGATAACTGGACAAAAAATGATTCACGCCCTAGGTAAGATAGAGTGAAAAAGTGTGAGAATTTATTGTGCTATTTTGAATGATATGTAATTTACAACTTATGAGTTGTTTTCTGGAAATTCTCTTTAACATTTTTGGAACACAGTTGAATGCAGGTAACTGAAACCACAAAAAGCAAAAAATAGGTATCCAAGTGACTGCTGTATATGGTGTTCAAGACTGAACAGGCCCTGAGGCACAAGTAAGTTACATGAAGAAATAGCCTGATGCACATGGTCCCCGCTCCTCCTACACTATCTTCTGTCTCGCAGTCTCCACCCATGGCCTCATAGAGAGTGCCTTATGGTCAGATGACAGAGGAAGAAAAGACTCCAGTCCCATTTAAAGATAGTTCTGCATCATATGCAGACACCACCCTAAAAGTGGGCAACTGTAGCACTACAAGCCTTTTCTGGGACATTCCTGATGGACAGAAGTAAAGGGAAATACTCTCACTGTGCACAACTTTGAGTGGTGCACCTGGTGATGCACTTTGCTTAGAAAGTGATCATGAGAGAACAGACATGCGATAATTATGATTACATATGGATTCAGGGGCTGTGGCAAGTGGTGTGGCTAGATAGTAAAAAACGTGGAGAGGACATGATTGAAAAATTAATGACAAAGAAATTTAGGGAAGAAGTATGACCATAACTCTCTGAATGAGCAAAAAACGTGAAGATATTTGTGTCCCATGTGAATGCTCACCAAATGGTGACCTCAGCAGAGGAGGATTGTAATATTCAAGTTAATAGTATGACACATTCTGTGGATACTAGCCAGCCTCTTTCTTCAGGCACCCTGTCATCACCCAATGGGCTCACAAAGAAAGTGGACATGGTGGCAGGGACATAGGTTATGTGTGGTCTCACAGCAACATGGACTTCCACTCATGAGGGCCAACCTGGCCATAGTCACTGCTGAGTGTCCAATCTTCCAGCAGCAGTGAACAACACAGAGCCACTAATATGGCACCATTACCCAATGGGAGTAGCCAGCTGCCTGGCAGGAGTTTGGTTACATTGCACTGTTTCCAACATTTAAGAGCAGCATTTTGTTCTTAGTGCAATATATACTTACTCTGGATACAGATTTTCCTTCTCTGCAAGCAATTCTGCCAAAACTACCTTCCAAGTTATAGAATGCCTTATGTACCATCATGATATTCCACATGGCATTACATATATCAAGAAACTCACTTCACAGATAAAGAAGTGCAGCAATGTGTCCATGATCATGGAATTCACTAGTCATACTCACCATGCTGCCCAACATCCCAAAGAAACTGGCTTTGAAATTTTAATTACAATTCAGCTAGATGGCAATAATTTGAATAGCTGGGGAAAAGTTTGCAAGAAAGCTATATATGCTTTGAATTAGTCTCCAGTATATTGTGCTGTTTTTTTGCCATAGACTGGATCTAGTAGCCTAGGAATGAAGAGATGGAAGTATGAGTGACACCACTCACTATTTTTTTTAATTTTTTAATTTTTTTATTATCCTTTAAGTTTTAGGGTACATGTGCGCAATGTGCAGGTTAGTTACATATGTATACATGTGCCATGTTGGTGTGTTGCACCCATTAACTCGTCATTTAACATTCAAGACACCACTCACTATTAACCCTAGTGACCCACTGTCAAAATTTCTGCTTCCTGCTCCATTGACTTTAAGCTTTACTGACCTACAGGTCTTAGTCACAGAGGAATGAATGCTTCCACCTAGAGAAATAGCAATAATTCTATTGAATTGGAAGTTAAGACTCTTACCCAGCCATTTTGAGCTCCTCATGCAACTGAATCAATAGACAAAACAGGAAGTTATCACACTTGATCCTGACTTTCCAGGGGAAATTGGGCTATTACTTCACAATACAAGGAAGAATAAGCCTGGAATATGGGACATTCCTTAGGACATCTTTTATTAATAAGAAAAACTGTAATAATAATATACGGAAAACTGTAATAGCCCAAACTAGCCAGAACTACTAATGGCCCACATTCTTCAGGAATAAAGGTTTGGGCCACTTCACAAGGAAAAAAGAACCATGGCCAACTAAGGTGCTTGCTAAAGACAAAAGGAATAGAGTATGGAAAGAAGAAGAAGACGGTTATAAATACCAGCTATAATCATGTGGCCAGTTCAGAAATGAGGACTGTAATTGTAATGAGAATTCCATCCTAATTTTATTATAAATATGTCTGTGTATTTATTAAGATGCTTTATTCCATTTTTTATTACCTTATTATATAAATATGATATATGGACTTTACATCAATATTTAAATATTGTTACTTTTACACTGTAGAATTTTACTCTGAGAAAATCAGGAGAAGAGTCAGTATCACTCAAAGAATATATGTCCTGATTGGAATAAAGGATTAGTGAGTTTTTATTTATATGCCGGATAGTTGTGTCATGTAAAGCAAAACTATGACCTTGTTATTGTCTATGTTTAGAGAGACTAAGTATGGTTTAAGTACATGCTTATGTTTGCCAAGCTGACAAGGGGTGGAGTAATGACGATTAAAGTGTTGACTTAACTAGGCTATATGATGCCCAGATAGCTGGCAAACATTATTTCTGGGTGTGCCTGTGAGGATACTCCTGGAAGAGACTACGATTGTTAGACAGAGTAACTATCATCCTCACCAATATAGGTGGGTATCAGTGCAATCAATTGAGGCCTTGAATAAAACAAAAAGACAGAGGAAGGGTGAGTTCACTCCCTGCTTAAGCTAGGACATCCTTCGCTTCCTGCCATCAGACATTGACATCCCAGATTCCAGAGCCTTCGAATTCAGACTATGATGTACACCCTTGGCTCCCCTGGCTCCCAATATTTCAAGTTTGAACTGAATCTATACCACCAGCTTTCTTGAAGTTTGCAGACAGCAAATCACAGGAATCCTCAGCCTACATAATTGCATAAAACAATTCATAATAAATCTCTATTATCTATCTATCTATCTATCTATCTATCTATCTATCTATCATCTATCTATCTATCTATCATCTCTCATCTAACTATCTCTTCTTAGTACTGTTTTTCTGGAGAACTCTGATACACTAGTGAATACAAACTGTCTTCTACAACTAATGGACAGCCTCAAACATTTTGTTATGCTCTCAAATGCTTTAGGAATTATCAATAAATTGCCTGCCATCTCCTCAGGGAGAGTCTCAAAAGATTAAAAAATGCATAAATTGTTCTCACTGTGCCATGTGAGAGACACATGGAGGAGTCAAGACAGAGGCTTCCTTACAGGTAAAAAAAAAAAAAGTAAGAATGTTTCTTGTGGTGTCATATGTTACAGATATCTATAATGCTTCAGTGACATTGGAAAACTGCCACTTTAATTTGATGACATAACCATAGTAAAGTGTGACAATTTCTGATTCATTTCTCCGGGATTTCTGTTACTCAATAATGCCTAAGCAGAAATAACGGTGCTCCATTTTTCATATGCTTTTTAAGTATTTTACATGGTTTCACAGGCTGAATGCTATAAGCATCTTTGAAACATTATCATGATATTGTTTCTAAAGTATTCATTTTACATATTTTTCTCTAATTGAGGCCAAAACTTGGAGAAAATAAAGCACAATGACAAGGAGATAAATATATTTTTAATGAAAGAATGGAGAAACTGCAACTATTTGGTCAGTCATGTTCATGTCCTTCCAAATACTTGTTATTTAGATGCTCTAGGCTCTCAGACCCCTTAACAATAATTTAACACTGAATGATTATTCAAATAAATGTGTAGATATGATTGTTTTCTCACTGCTTGGTGAGTCAAAAAGGGGGTTGCTACCTTACATTCGAATGTGAAAAGCATTATTAAAAATTATGAGGCTTTTTGGGTAATCATAGGCACAGAAAAAAAAAACATTTTAAAATAGAAGAAAATAAAATTAGGAGACTGTTAAGTACCCAGTTTTAGGGAACAATACAATTTTCAGAAAGTACTTCAATTTCCACTAAGAGTTGACAAAAGCAGATATTATTTTCTCAAAGATTGTAGCTTTAAAAAATGCAATTGATATTCAACAAAGACAGCAAAATATGAAAAAAAGCAATCTGGTTCTTTCCACAGAACTCCAAAGATGGTGAAAGGAACCTCATTTATATTTCCTTACCTAACAAGAAAACAGGTACTTATCCATGATATTATTTGCCTTTCTAAATTGCCAAACTGTACAAAACAAGCAAACAAAATACAGGATTTATGCTGCTCATCATCTTATTTACTAAAGATATTTATCTAACTTTTCCATCTACTGCCACACATTACCATATATCTAATATGAGAAAGGTGTGTTCATTGAGTCAGGGTAGGATAGGAGTAGGTCATAATTTTATTTAAAAAATTAAGTTCAAATAATATGTAATCATCTTTATATTTAATGTAACACAATTGCTTGTCTTTATTTTTTCATAGCTCACTCTGAGATTGCTGTCACTATAATTTTCATTGTAAAAACTATTTTCTTTCTTTTCTTTTTTCAAAAAACATTGGGGCTTACGATTTTTTTTAACTAATAATGATTATCTTAGGTTATCATGCCCTCCATCTCCTGCTCTACTATATTTTAAATCTGTGGGTTATTGGGGGATATTTAGATATATATTTATTCGATTATACATATGTTAATTTGTATTATGTGCTATACCATATTTCCTAGTTTCTGTGGCTTGCATGTTCAGAAAAGTTTTAAATCACAGCCAGAAATCCACGTATATCTCATGTTTAGTGTATTCATTTTGTCTCTATGTTATTGTGTAACAAGGTGACTTTTAATCATTTCTTTAATCTACAGTATCCTTTTACCCAAAAAGTAGCTTTTACTAATTTTCATTATACAAAACCAATATGAAGGACCACATTTTCTCCCAATTTGTTCAGATTTCCTCAAACTCCCCTAAGATTTTGTATGATAAAACAAACTTAACGTTCACATTCAAGTTAGCATTTCTCAATTATATTGAGAATAAAACTATGGGAAGATTAATGTTTTAATAAAGTTTATATAAAAATAATTTATTTAAAATGTTATTAAATTCGTTGTGAAAAATAGATAAGTAATCCAAAACAATAGCATACCAATTACCCAAGTTTAGTCATGAATTGGGGGAGGGGAGAAGAACTGCCCTAAGTTGCAAGTATTACATCCTACTTGACCTGTGACTCCCCTAGGCATCATTATGGTCCTAACAAAGAAGTTAATTCATAGTCAGAATAATGTATGTGTACACATGTAAAAAAAACCTCTTTCAAGTAAGGCATTGTCACAATTAAAACAAATAACAAGAAGAAGAAAACTCACAATGTACTTGATGTTTTAGAACTACTTCTAGGCAGCAAAGACACATTGAATCACTTAATCTTCAGTCATCCTTCCCAACAATTCTGCAATGACATGTTGGTTCTGGATATTAGAACAAACAGTTTTAG
Organism: Homo sapiens; assembly: GCF_000001405.40. Classification (NCBI taxonomy): domain Eukaryota; kingdom Metazoa; phylum Chordata; class Mammalia; order Primates; family Hominidae; genus Homo; species Homo sapiens. The sequence continues at coordinate 56,317,359 of NC_000011.10, forward strand.
ATAACTTACACTATTTGCCTAAAATAACCTTTCAAATATGACATAAATTAAGATATAGTGTAGAATATATCTATATCCATATATTTCCTGATATTTTTTGCTTTGTAAATATAAATAATTGCCACTGTCATCTGTTATGCTGCTCTTACTCATATGCCTAATATCTGTCAACTCTATTAAAGTCTCAGCTGTACCACCCGAAGAGATAAGGGTATTCACAGGATGATGTTTTGAAGCAGGTGGTTTTATGCATTTTTGGAATCTGTGACAGAAATTTTTTATATAACTAAAATTGTATTATGTCACAATTTTAATCTATAAATATGACCAAGCTCTAAAAACATAGTACAATAATTGTTCATATATCAGATATCCACGGTATTAACAATGTTTTTAACTTTAAAATTTTTCTTTATATATCTATACAGACATGAATATCTGTATCTCTTTCTCTCTCTCTCATATGATTCTATCTGTTCATCCATAATCTATCTATCTACCCATTAACTATCTATCTATCATCTGTCTATTCATGTATCTCATCAGAGTTTCTCAACCTTAGCACTATTGATATTTGGGGTTGGGTATTGCGATGGGCTGAGTATTGATTATAGTGGAATGTTTAGCAGCTTACTGGCTTCTAACCTTTAGATGCAACAGTGGCCCACCTCCAAATTGTGATAAATAAAATGTCTCTAGACATTAGAAAATGTTTTTGGGTGAGTAAAATCAAAAGCAACTGAAAACTGCTGATCTGCCTTATCTCTTTCTTAAATTATTTAAACATGTTTTTATTTGTGAGAGGTATGTTTTCAAATGTCGCAAATTGTGAAATTTAGGTATATCTTCTGTTAGCTTTGCATACTAAAAAATTTCTCAGGTGATGATAGAGGAAAGCTATTGACAATGCCGATGTCTCTATCAGAATAGGTTTTCTGATGAACCTGGATGGAACAACACAATCTAACAACGGTGAATGAATTCATTCTTACGGGAATCACAGATATCGCTGAGCTGCAGGCACCATTATTTGCATTGTTCCTCATGATCTATGTGATCTCAGTGATGGGCAATTTGGGCATGATTGTCCTCACCAAGTTGGACTCCAGGTTGCAAACCCCTATGTACTTTTTTCTCAGACATCTGGCTTTCATGGATCTTGGTTATTCAACAACTGTGGGACCCAAAATGTTAGTAAATTTTGTTGTGGATAAGAATATAATTTCTTATTATTTTTGTGCAACACAGCTAGCTTTCTTTCTTGTGTTCATTGGTAGTGAACTTTTTATTCTCTCAGCCATGTCCTACGACCTCTATGTGGCCATCTGTAACCCTCTGCTATACACAGTAATCATGTCACGAAGGGTATGTCAGGTGCTGGTAGCAATCCCTTACCTCTATTGCACATTCATTTCTCTTCTAGTCACCATAAAGATTTTTACTTTATCCTTCTGTGGCTACAACGTCATTAGTCATTTCTACTGTGACAGTCTCCCTTTGTTACCTTTGCTTTGTTCAAATACACATGAAATTGAATTGATAATTCTGATCTTTGCAGCTATTGATTTGATTTCATCTCTTCTGATAGTTCTTTTATCTTACCTGCTCATCCTTGTAGCCATTCTCAGGATGAATTCTGCTGGCAGACAAAAGGCTTTTTCTACCTGTGGAGCCCACCTGACAGTGGTCATAGTGTTCTATGGGACTTTGCTTTTCATGTACGTGCAGCCCAAGTCCAGTCATTCCTTTGACACTGATAAAGTGGCTTCCATATTTTACACCCTGGTTATCCCCATGTTGAATCCCTTGATCTATAGTTTACGAAACAAAGATGTAAAATATGCCCTACGAAGGACATGGAATAACTTATGTAATATTTTTGTTTAAATTTTGTACAATATGATTCCTATAAATTAGGTTATGGGCATGAATTTTTGCTCTGCATACTTCCAGAAGACATAACAAGCATAACTGATTCAACATATATTTACATATGTCTCATACATGATAGGCTCTTCTAATTGCTATACATAGATTAATAAACAAAATAGTAGAAATCTTTGCCTTCCTTGATGGATAGATGAATTGTATTCACAATAAGTCCATTTTATATAACAGTAGAATGTGCACGATGGATATAGACAAAGAAAAAAGGGAGACAAGGAAAGCTAGTATGCTGGGTGGCAGTAGGAAACAGTGGTCATTACAGAAGGGAGTTACGAGGATTCCAGTGTTTTTTATCTGCTACTGGAATAAAATTTACAGTGTGTGTGCTTCTGTATGTTTCTGTTTGTGTGTTTTTGTGTATATAAGCATTTTCCTTCTGTTTTAGCCTTCATACTTTTTGCTTGTATATTCTGACATTGCATTTAATACTGGTTGTTTAGATGATATGTGATGATTTTAAGTCTTACAGATGTGCTCGAATAATTACTATTCCGAATATTAGGATCCTACTATTTCCTTATCAATGTTTTTATTTCCACATAGAAGTCTGTTAACCGAACATACTTTGTAGCTCAATAATCGGTAAATTCTGATTAGCACCTGATTTTGTTTCAGTTAGCCCATTCTGTTTACATGAGTAGATATATCAATTATGCTTAAGTTTAGAAGACATCCATAGAAATTCTCAGGTTTATTCTTTCTCTCTAGTTGTTCTTGCTTAATAACTGCCTTTTTCACAGATTTTCCCGTTATTTATCTAAAAAAAAGTAATAAACTGTGGTTAAAATTTGTGTTCCAGTTGTTTTTACATCTTTGAGGAGGGGGACCATTCTATGATGAATTAACTTTGTAGTCTCTCACTGAGTTGACAATCCATAATTTTTATCAATATGCACTATATCGAATGCACTATATTTTCATTTACTTCACTGTTTGATTGCATCAGTTGATTTTTCTACTTGTACAAAGCAAATAAAAGTAATAAAATGCACTACACCATACTGTATCTATCTGCTGGCTATTACAGATGTCCTTTGACAGTTACAGACCTTCACCATGCAAGTGAGGTCTGATCTGTATGCAATGATATCGTTATCTTGCCTTTTAAACATGGTTGCTTTCCTTAACTCCATATGTTTTCTTATGTATTTTGATTTCCTTTATTCTTTTTAATAATCCTAAGAATTTATTGAAAGTATCAGAGTCTACAATATTTTCTTGGTTCACCATCATAAAATAAAATCCCATGTGCAGCCAAAGAAACACTAATGAATATATCTCATTGGAATAAATTAAACATTGCATAGCACATTGTCATGTGAGGATAAATATTACCATATTGTTGCTGTACTGAAAATGAATCTTTAAGATGGTCATAGAAATTACCAGGTAGTAATAATATCTCACACTTACTATTATATTATAGAGATTCTACATGTCTCAATTAATTTAGCCATCACAACAGCTCTTTGAGGTAGGTTCTATTAAAAGTTCCATTTTTAGGATGATAAAGTAGAGCCTAGATACAGTAAGTAAGTTGTCAGAGATCACCAAGGTAATGAGTATTAGAATCAGGTTTTGTTGTATTTTTGCTCGTTCGTTTTAACAGATAGAATCTCCCTTTGTTGGCCAGGTTGGAGTGAAGTGGCATAACCATAGCTCATTGCAGCCTCAAATTCCTGAGCTCGAGGAATCCTCTCACCTCAGCCTCCTAAATAGCTGGGACTACAGCCATGAGCCACCAATGCCCGGCCTATTTTTGTATTTTTCATGGAGACAGGGTTTTGCCATGTTGCCCAGGCTGGTATCAAACTCCTGAGCTCCAAGTGATCCACCAACCTCAGCCTCCCAAAGTGCTGGGACTTACAGGCATGAGCCACAATGCCTGGCTCTATATTCTCTTTCTCTTTCTCTTTCTTTCTCTGTCTCTGTCTCTGTCTGTCTGTCTCTCTCTCTCTCTCTCATTTTTTTAAGACAGGGTCTGGCTCTGTTGCCCAGGCTGGAGTGCAGTGGCGTGATTTCAGCTCACTGAAACCTCCGCCTCCTGGGTTCAAGCAATTCTTGCGCCTCAGCCTCCCAAGTATCTGAGACTACAGGCATGTGCCACCATGCCCAGATAATTTTGTATTTTTAGAAGAGGCGGGGTTTTGCCACATTAGCCAGCCTGGGCTTGAACTCCCTAGCCTCAAGTGATCGGCCTGCCTCAGCCTCCCAAAGTGCTGGGATTAAGGGCATGAGCCACTGCGTCCAGCCCTATTTTGTCTCTTAATGTCATTTGTATGCTTCACTGATGTTACCCTGAGATGTGACAGAGCAAAACCTCACTTTGGCAGATTTGGTATTAGAAGAGAAAAAGAGCAGAGGGGTCAATTACAGGAAGAATACATGCTGGGGATCCATTGTACCACATGGTGATTGTAGTTTATAATACTGAACTTTTTACTTGAAATTTGATGGAAGAACAGATTCCAAATGTCTTCACCACACATACACACACATACACACATAAACACATGCACACACATATGCAGGGTGAACTATAGGTGGTAACAGATGTGCTAATTAATGTTATTTTAGTAATCCTTAAACAACATAGTCATATATAAAATTATCACACTGTGCACCTTGAAAATATATTTTTGTCAATGAAATATTTTCAAATAAGAAAATAAATGAAAGCAGTGAACTATGTGACACATAAAATTAATTTACAAAATACATAATCAAAAAGAAAATTGACTCAGAAATGTAAACTTATCAGTCCATTTTGACATTTTGAAAGAGTGTTTATGCTCAAGTAGAAAGCCATCAAAAAGTAGAGTTTGAGTAGAGTTGTAATAAATTGCAGAGGATGAGGATAGCAGAAATTAGCATTAAGTAGTCAGTAATATGCTGAAGACAAATAAATAATCAGGCAGATTTTCTTTATTTCTATCCTAATAAGTTCAACCATCTTTGAGAAAGAAAGATTGAGGTTGTTTTCTTAATAGGGGAAGGGACCCTCCTAGGAAAAGATGAGGAAGGACGATGACAATTTGGCAAATCCTCAGACTCCCTGGACACAGAGTAAATTACTATTGAGCTGAACAGGCATGCCACAAGGTAGAGAAGTTTCAGACATCATGAAACAGGAGGAACTATATTCTAATTTCCAGTATATGTGATTGATGCATCTTGGAACAATGAGGACCACATCGTTCACAGTGGCATATAGTGTTTTCCCCATTTTCCAGTATGTCATATTTGAGCATAGGTTGACATCATGTTTAGTTAATCTTACCTTTATAAGTTCCCTGATGAGGATGAAAGTATTTGTATATTCTTTAAGTCCCAGCTAAAACACTAGGACACATGATATAATATATGAAATAATAATAACAGGTACTTGTGGCCTGTGGGGGTCAGATTTAGATCTCAAAGAAATTGCCTAACATTCTGCCCCAGAAAACAACATTTAAAATAAAAAAAAAAAAATCAATCCCAAAATTATCAGAAGGAAACAAAAAAGATCAGAACAGAAATAAATACAGTAAAGAATAGAAAAATATAGAAAAAATAACAAAAAGAAGAGTTGGCATTTTGAAAAAATAAAATTGGCAAACTTTCAGCTTGGCTAACCAAGAGGGAAGAGTAAAATAAAATTATAAGTGAAAGTGGAACCATTACAACTGATATCTCAGAAATAAAATGGATGAGGGACTATTACGAACAATCATATGCCAATAAATTGAATAATTGAGGAAATGAATAAATTCCTAGCAAAATACAATCTACCAATATTAAATCAGACATAAATAAAGAGCCTGAAAAAACCCAACAAATATAGAGATTGAAGTAGTGATATGGTTTGGGTCTGTTTCCCCACCCAAATCTCATCTTGAATTGTAATCCCTACATGTCAAGGGAGGAACCTGGTGGGAGGCGATTGGGTCACGGGGGTGGTTTTTTCATCCTGTTTTTATGATAATGAGTGAGTTCTCAGGAGGTATAATGGTTTAAATAAAAGTGGGGCACTTTCCCTTGCCCCCAATGTCTCTCTTCTGCTGCCTTATAAAAAAAGGTGCTTGCTTCTCCTTTGCTTTCTACCATGTGTTAGGCCTCTGAGACCATGCTAAGCCATCATATCCCCTGTCACCTGCAGGTATAAATCCAGATGGCCTAAAGCAACTGAAAAACCACAAAACAAGTAAAAATAGCCAGTTCCTGACTTAATTGATGACATTCCACCATTGTGATTTGTTTCTGCCCCACCCTGACTAATCAATTAACCTTGCGACATTCCTTCTCCTGGACAATAAGTCTCTGGAGCTCCCCACCGAGCACCTTGTGACCCCCACCCCTGCCCACAAGAGAACAGCCACCTTTAACTGTAATTTTCCACTACCTACCCAAATCCTATAAAACTTCCCTACCCCTATCACCCTTTGCTGACTCCTTTTTCAGACTCAGTCTGCCTGCACCAAGGTGATTAAAAAGCTTTATTGCTCATACAAAGCCTGTTTGGTGGTCTCTTCACACAGATGCACATAACACCATGATTGTAAGTTTTCTGAGGCTTCCTCAGCCATGTGAAACTGTGAGTCGATTAACTTCTTTACTTTTAAATTACTCAGTCTCAGGTAATTCTTTAAAGTAGTTTGAAAACAGATTAATACAGAAGATTGGTAGTGAGAGAAGTGGAGCATTGCTATAAGGATACCTGAAAACGTGGAAGCAACTTTGGAACTAAGTAATGGGCAGAGGTTGGAATGGATTGGAGGGCTCAGAAGAAGACAAGACGACGTGGGAAAATCTGGAACTTCCTAGAGACTTGTTGAATGGTTTTGACCAAAATGCTGATGGAGATATGGACAATGAGGTCCAGGTTGAGATGGTCTCAGATGGAGATGAGAAACTTATTGGAAAATGGAGCAAACGTCACTCTTGCTATGCTTTAGCAAAGAGACAAGTGGCATTTTACCCCTGCCCTGGAGATCTGTAGAACTTTGAACTTGAGAGAGATAATTTAGTCTATCTGATGGAAGACATTTCTAAGCACCAATGTGTTCAAGATGTGACCAGACATTTTGTAAAAGTGTACGTTTATATGTATGAAGAAAGAAATGATCTAAAATTAAAAATTATGTTTAAAAGGGTAGCAGAGCATGAGTTCGGAAAACTTGCAGCCTGACCATGCTGTAGAAAAGAAAAACCCATTTTCTGAGGAGAAAGTTAAGCCTGCTGCAGAAATTTGCATAAGTGACTAGGAGCCAAATGTGAATAGCACAGACAATGGGGAAAGTGTCTCCAGGGTATTTTATAGATCTTCATGGCAGTCCCTCCCATTACAGGCCCAGAGGCCTAGGAGGGTAAAATCATTTCCTGGGCCAGGCCCAGGGCCCCATCACTGCTCTGTGCATCCTTGGGACTTGGCGCCCTGCATCCCAGCTGCTACAGCTTCAGCCATGGCTAAAAGGTGCCAAGGTGCAGCTCAGGCCATTGCTTCTGAGGGGGCAAATCCCAGGCCTTGATGGCTTCCACCTGGTGTTGGGCCTATGAACCTGGAAAAGCTGCAGGCACTCAATGCCAGTCCATGAAAGCAGCTGCAGGGGCCCTACCCTGCAGAGCCACAGGGCCTTGGGAGCCCACCCCTTACATCAGCATTCCCAGGATATGAGACATTGAGTCAAAGTATATTATTTTGGAGCTTTAAGATTTAATGACTTCCCCACTGGATTTCATTCTTGTACAGAGCCTGTAGCCCCTTTGTGTTGGCCAATTTTTCCCATTTGGAATGAGGACATTTACCTAATTCCTGTACTCTCATTGTATCTTGGAAGTAACTAATTTGTTTTTGATTTTCCAGGCTCATAGAGAGAAGGGATTTTTGCCTCAGATGAGACCCTGGACTGTTGACTTTTCAGTTAATGCTGAAATGAGTTAAGACTTCGGGGGACTGTTGGGAAGGCACGATTGGTTTTAAAATCTAAAAAGGACATGAGCTTTGGGAGGGATAAGGGCAGAATGATATCTTTTGGCTCTGTGTCCCTACTGTAATCTCATCTTGAATTGCAATCCTTATGTGTCATGGGAGGAACCTGGTAGGAGGTGATTGGATCATGGGGAAGGTTTCCCCCATGCTGTTCTCTTCATAGTGAATGAGTTCTCCCCAACCACTGCTGCCTTGTAAAGAAGGTCCTTTCTTCTCCTTTGCCTTCTACCACAATTGTAAGTTTTCCTGAGGCCTCCTCAGCCAGGCAGAACAGTGAGTCAATTAACCTCTTTCCTTTATAAATTATTCAATCTCAGGTAAGGTTCTTTAGAGCAGTATGAAAACAAACTAATACAAATGGTAATTAAAAACCTCCCAACAAGGAAAGCTGTGGGTCAGATGTCTTCATGGTTGAATTCTACCAAACATTTACAGAATCATTACACATCATTCTAAAACTCTTTCAAAAAATACAAGTACAGTAGTCCACTTAATCCATAGAAGATAACTTCCTAGACTCCCAGTAAATGCCTGAAACCACAGATAGTACTGAACCTGATTGCTATAAATCAGAACATGTTTCTGTCTACCTCCCATACATTTAGTGGCTCTTTTATCTTAACTAAGCATTTCTCTTGATACATTTGGCTGTGTCCCAACCCAAATATCGTCTTGAATTGTAGCTCTCATAATTCCCACATGTTGTGGGAGGGACCTGGTGGGAGACAATTGAATAATGGGGGTGGTTTCCCACACTGTTCTCATGGTAGTGAATAAGTCTCTTGAGATCTCATGGTTTTATAAGGGAAATCACTTTTGCTTAGTTCGTATTCCCTCGTCTTCTGCTACGTAAAATGTACCTTTTGTCTTCCACCATAATTGTGAGGCCTCCCCAGCCACATGGGACTGTAAGCCCATTAAACCTCTTTTTCTTTATAAATTACCCAGTCTTGAGTGTGTCTTTATCAGCAGTATGAAAAGGAACTAATACAGTAAATTGGTTCCAGTAGAGTGGGGCACTGCTGTAAAGATACCCAAAAATGTGGGAGCAACTTTGGAACTGGGTAACAGGCAGAGGCTGGAACAGTTTGGATGGCTTAGAATAAGACAGGAAAATGTGGGAAGGTTTGGAACTTCCTGGAGATTTGTTGAATGGCTTTGATCAAGATGCTGATAATGATATAGACAATGAAATCCAGGCTGAGGTGGTCTCAGATGGAGATGAGGTACTTGTTGGGAACTGGAGTAAAGGTGACCCTTGCTATGTTTTAGCAAAGAGACTGGCAGCATTTTGCCCCTGCTTTAGAGATTTGTGGAACTTTGAACTTGAGGGAAATGATTTACGGTACCTTCAGAAGAAATTTCTGAGCAGTAAAGCATTCAAGAGGTGACTTGGGTGCTGTTAAAAGCATTCAGTTTTAAAAGGGAAACAGCATAAAAGCTCAGAAAATTTTCACCCTGACAATGGGATAGAAAAGAAAAACCCACTTTCTGAGGAGAAATTCAAGAAGGCTGAAGAAATTTGCATAATTAATTAGGGGTCAAATGTTAATCACCAAGACAATGGGGAAAATATTTCCAGAGTATCAGAGACCTTTGTGGGAGACCCTCTCTTCACAGGACCAGAGAGTTAGGAGAAAAAAGTGGTTTCCTGGGTTGGGCCCAGGCCTCCTGGCTGTGTAAAGCCTAGGGACTTGGTGCCTTATGTCCCAGCCATTCTAGTCATGGCTAAAAGGGCCCAAGGTACAGCTCAGACCATGGCTTCAGAGGGTGCAAACTCCAAGCCTTGGCATATCATCTCTGCTAATCAGAGTTCTCTGGACTAATATGGTGTTAGAGAGCATTAAATCCTATGAATTGAACAGATGACCTATACCTATTTGTTTTGTGAGAGTTGAATGTGATGTTTAGATATTTCAAGTAAAGAGGAAGTTAAAATCACCTAAAAAATTTATAAGTAAGCTCATCTGTTAGACTGCATCAAGGTTAGAATTTTTAGAGAAAATACAGGTGATGATATCCAGGTTTGAAAAATAACAAATATTATATTAATATATAATTTGATATTTTTAAAAGAATATTTTATAACTATTTCTATGGCAATAGTTTACAAACTAAGAATAATTTTAATTTAAGGAAACCAAATGCAAAAACTTAAAATATTTTTAGTTCTTTCTTTTTCCTCCTGGGCTTCTTCTGTTTTTGAGAGGTTTTGTTTTGTTTTTTTTTAACAATGGGCATTAGAATCATTTAGTAGACTGAAATAAATAGAATGGCTTTTAAGACTTATGAAGTTACTGAGAAAACCCTGAACCTCAAAAAATTTCTAACTGATATTACTGTGCTGAAGATAGAAAACTCAGTCATTTGCATACTTTTTGTATTATTTCTGTCCTAATGTTTAGCCCTACATTGTTACATTTAAAATATAAACATTAAAATATTAAAAGGAGAGCAGAGATATCCTTTTCCATGCAAGAATCATGTACAAAGTGAAAGAGTTCATACCTCTTCAAAAGGAGATAACTGACACTGGATATGAAGACAGACTTAAACACAAGAAGAATCGTTGGGGTGATCAGACCCAACACCAGGTCGTGGGAGGGACAAAGTCCAGTGGAGTCAAAGGAATGAGAAAAAGACAGTTTGAGAGAGAAAGTGGGACCAGGGGCCCATTGTTGAGTGTGGAGGCTGCGAAAGCCCCAAGCTCTGGGAGCCCATGCTATATATTGGTGCTCAAACAAACACGTAGTGAGGATGTGGGGGTTGAAAGGAAACAGTGGATCAAGTGAATGAGAAACACATGGCTGCTTGAGATAATGGGAGTGCTAGAAGCAAGGAGCCAGCAAGTCTAGCAGACGTGCAAGCCCTGCCTCAGCTTCTCTCCCAATACTCAGCTTTTCTCCCAACATGCCCCACTTCTTTTTTGTAAAAACTGCCCCAGCTATCATTATTAGCATAAGGTGGCCTCTTTAAATTGAGCAAGGCAATTGCAGGCTGTGCAGCCCTTAATTGCCACTTGGTGATCCAGCTTCATTTTTCTTAGCCCTTATTCAAAATGGAGTTGCTCTGATTTGAATGCTTCCTACATATCTCCCCTTTCCCTTTTACAAGAGGACCCTTAATCCTAGGGGTTGCAGAAGGATGAAGGTCTGTCTTCTGTAACTTCTTCATGTTGAATAGGGGTGATCATACTCCTGCCTACCTATTAGGGTCTCTTGTATTCAGGGTAGAGAGGAGTTCAGTCAGAAAGCACTGGTCCATTAAGCATCTATAGGTAAAACCCTGGTGCTCCAGCAGTTTCTCAGCATGGCTCGTACTGGGGGAACCCAGGCCATGGTTGGGATCCATGGGTCCTTCCATTCTCCTGTTCCATGGTCAAACACATCTTGAGGGCATCTACATGGTTTGTTCATCTCCTGCAAAAACACAAGCATATCCTCACCCCCACGTTAGTAAATGCACTGAAACACAAGCAAAAGCATTTGTGGCTGTAGCTGGGAGGCATGCCATTGCTGAAGCATTTGTAACTCAGCTTCTGCCCTTTGGTTAATTATCATGGGGGTAAAACTTGCCATTGATAATGAGAAGCAGGCTTTTTCTGATTAACAGAAAGCATAGAAAAAGCAAATCGAGGCTTATCCTTCTTGTGCAACAGTATAGCAAAAAAGTAATCCTTAAGCCTTCAATTTGCACTGTACAGGTGGGTCCACTAGATGCTGTGGTTCATGATAGATCTTCAGATGTTTGGTGGGCACCCACACAGGCACCTGATTGTCACGTGGAGAGACACAAGCAAATCCTCTTACCATAAAATTATCTTTCCTTTTTCCCAGCTCTTTGTATGTGCATCCCTCTACCATACATCTTGTCCAGCCTTTTTATTTTCCTTTTGTCCTGTCAAGTGTTGTTCAGCTGCAGACATGGGTTGATCTTGCTGAATTTTTTCCTCAATTAATTGATGTTCCTCCCATGCTTTTTTGGACATGAAGCGTTTACTGTTAAGGTTAGAATCACCTTGTAAAGTAAAAAAAGAGGTGAGACATAGCATAGGCAGGAATGTCTAAAGTTGGACAAATCCAATTAATGTCTCCTAATAACTTTTGGAAATCATTTAAGGTTTCTAAATTATCTTTTTGAATTTGAACCTTTTGAAGCTTAATAGCACTTTGCTTTACCTTCATTCCAAGATAATGAAAGGGAGTAGAAGTTTTGATTTTATTGGGGGCTATAATTAACCCTGCCGCATTTACAGTCTTTTATAACTGTTTGTAGCACAACATCAATTCTTCCCTAGTCTCAGCTGTACACAGAATATCATCCATGTAATGGATGATATAACATTTTTTAAACTGTCTTCTAACTGGCTTAATAGCTTTCCCACATAAGTTTGACAAATAGTCGGGCTATTTAGCGTGCCTTGTGGTAATACTTTCCAATGGTAGCTGTCCACTGGTTCTTCATTATTTATGGTGGGAACAATAAAAGCAAATTTTTCATAATTTTGGGCAGCTAAAGGAATGGTAAAAAAAAGCAATCCTTTAGATCTATCACTATGAGAGGTCACTATTTTGGTATCATTGCTGGGGAGGGCAGCCCTGGTTGTAGAACACCCATGGGTTGAATCACAGCATTAGCAGCCCTTAAATCTGTTAACATTCTCCATTTCCCTGATTTTTTCTTAATGAAAAATACAATAGAATTCCAAGGGGAGAAAGTAGGCTGTATATATCCCTTTTGCAATTGTTCCTGCACCAGTTCTTTTAAAGCCTCCAGTTTTTCCTGTTTCAGTGGCCATTGCTCCACCCAAACCGGTTTGATAGCCAAACAAGAGGATTGGGAGCTGGAGGCTCAACAATGGTCGCTCCTAAAAATGACACCCCAATTCGGTCTGATCTGTTTGCCCTTTTAATTCTAAAGGTTCTGATTGGCCATTTTTATATTGTCCTAGTCCTTTTCCCAGGTGATATCCCATGTTTTTCATCATTTGTCTGCTATGATTACTATACTGATCCATAGGAATAGGTATTTCAGCATCCCATTGTTGCAATAAGTCTCTACCCCATAAATTGATAGGAATAGGTGTAATGATAGGTTGGATTGTCCCTTCCTGACCATTCGTCCTTTGACATGGTAAAATCAAGGAACTCTGAAAAACTTCTGAGGCAGCTCCTACTCCAACAATACCAGTGGATGCCTTTTGCTTAGGCCAGTGCTGGGGCCATTGATTTATAGCAATAATAGAGACATCAGCTCCAGTATCTACTAGTCCTTCAAAATCTTTTCCCTGAACAGTTACTGTGCAAATAGGTCTTTTGTCAGACACTTGATTAACCCAATACACAGCCTTTCCTGCTGGATTATTATTACCAAAGCCTCCTGTTCTTTTCACTGTGCTGCTTCCTAGTTTTATATAAGGTAACAGCAACAACTGAGCAATTCTTTCTCTTGGGGAGGCAGAACACGGAGAGGAACTAATAACTAATTGAATCTCTCCAGTATAATCAGAGTCAATTATTCCCATATGTACAGTAGCACCTTTTAAATTCAGACTAGACCTTCCAAGTAATAGGCCAACTGTTCCTCAGGGTGAGGGTCCCCTAACTCCTGTGGGTACCTTCTTTGGTGGCTCCCCAGGAAGTGTGAACTAAAAGATGAGTTACATAGATATTTACAATACACAACTGGACATTTTCCATTATTTTGGGATAAACTAAAATAAATTTTAAAGTTTCATTTGGAGATTTCAAAGCTGAAGATGCTTTCAGCAAATTCTTAGATCTTAAGAAAATGCCTTAGATCTTAAGAATATATTGTTCATTGTTTATAAAATCATTTGCCTTTTTTATCTAAAAATTTTAATACCTGAATTTAACAGGTTTTTCTTCTGGACAAGTTCTTTGACATTTAAGTAAAATCAATACTTTCAGAGTAATCATCTGCATCACACTGGAGTGACTGCTTTAATTTCTAAATCATCAATTAGTGTAGCCCAGGGATACTGATGGCCTTGATACATAATTTAGTCTTGTCATTATAGCGTGTGGAAATCAGGGCTTTGGGGGCATCATCTGACCCCATTTCTTTTTACCACAGTGGTTCCTGCCACAATATCATAGGCTGATCGATTATGCTGAAAAAACAGCAGTGTGATGCAAGCAGGGAAAAAAGAAGCAATTGAAAAATTCTTGATCAAAGCTCATGTAGTGGACATTGTAATGCTAACGTTTGAGGAAAGAATCACTAAAACCCGACTTAGTGCAATAAGCACTAATGTATCACATGTCACAACTCGAAGCCCCACCAGGAACTTCCCTGGGGTAGCTCCACCTGCTCCCCAGATGCAAATTATCTCATAGAAACAAACTAATAGTCTGCATCATTTTCTGCAAGTCTTCCACTGATGTGTCTTTATCTATTTTTTCCATTACATAATGCATAGCAAACTTAGAGATATCCTTTATCCCACTGAGGTGCATAATGCTTAAGACAATGGTTGCTTTTACAAAGAAAAGAATAAAGAAACTCACCATCCTGGGCCAAGGATGGAATAACATATTCTCCGCCTGCCTGTTGCCCGGTCTCACTCAGGCTTCACGAAGGGGCTGCTGATCCTACCTTCGTCACTGGAGTGGCCCAGACTGATGCCTGCACATGAGAAGCCCGGGGTCCCAGGCCAGTTACTGGAGCCTGGGTGCTGATGCCAGCAGCTGTACCCGGGTCAGGGCCGGCGGCCCAGGACTCAGGAAGTAGAAGGGGTTGTAATAGCCCAGCCACTGGGACAGCAGCGCTGTCCGAAGGGAAGCTCTGCGGGGACTGCTGGGGACTGCAGCAAGCCGGGAAGGCGGCCTGGCCAGCGGTGCCAGGTGAGGTAGCCACAGCAGGACTGATACAGCCACTCGCGCACTTGCCGGGAGCACTCGGTCTCTCCCGCGGGGCTGTGCCTTGGGCACTTCGGCAGCCCAGCACGGAGCCGGAAGCAGCCTCCCCGCGCTTCCTGAGCTCACCGGGGCGGCTCTGATTTGTCAGGCACAGCCATGAGGCCCGGGCTGTGGGCTGGCCAGGGGCATGGGGTTTGGCCTGGGGGTCGTCATGGGGGCATGGGACGGTGGCGGCAGGAGGGCCTCTCAGGGTAGGGAGGGACTCGTGGCCCCCTCCACCCTCGTCGTGCCCAGGAGGGCGGCCTTGGGCTTCCTCGGGCCCCTCTGCCATTGTCGCCTCAGCAGGACCCAGCACCCCCCGCCGTACCTGTCACTGCTCCGTCTTTATACACCTTTTTGAAAAAATCTCTTCCAATTCTCTCCCATTCATCCAACTCCATAGTCCCCTGTTCCGGGAACCATGGGCAAAACAGCTTTACTGTACTAAAAAGTGATAACAAACTGAGTACCAACTTTTACTCCCCCACTTCATAATAAATGCTTTAAAAAATTTAAATAAGCAGAATGTCTGCATTCACTTTGTCCCATTGTTACCCTGGTTCTTCCCAGCGCTCAGCTTTCCCGCCGAACTTCTTTTAGACGACCTCGGGTGTCCTTTGATGAGGCGTCCTCTGCTTTCACACGCTCTAGCGTTCCTTCACCAGGGTTGCCCCACATTGGGCACCAGGAATGTTGGGGTGCTCAGACCCAACATCAGGTCTTGGGGGCAATGAAGTCCGGCGGAGTCAAAGGAATGAGAAAAAGACAGTTTGAGAGAGAAATTGGGACCAGGGGGCCATCACAAGTGTGGAGGCTGCAAAGTCCCCAAGCTCTGGGAGGCCATGCTACTTATTGGTGCTCAAACAAACAGTTGATGGGGATGTGGGGATTGAAAGGAAACAGTGTATGAAGTGAATGAGAAACATTTGGCTGCTTGAGATAACAAGAGTTCTAGAAGCAAGGAGCCAGCAAGTCTAGCAGACACGCAAGCCCTGCCTCAGCTTCTCTCTCAACACTCAGCTTTTCTCCGAACAAAGGACTATTGGTAAAATTTAAACATTTCAAAGCAGTGACACTGTGGCTGCAATACTGAATTCCTTTGTTCAGTCCACTGCATCTCCTATTCTACAATAAAACCCTTTGAAGGCATACCCTGACATCTGGTAAGTTCAAAAGAATGTTTTCAAAAATGCTGGACTTACGGTTCTTACTTGTAAGGGAGGAAAGAGCCAGAAAGACAGAATGGAATTCAGTGAAGAAAGAACAAACAGTTTCATCTGGGAAGAATGGTTTCAGACAGCTTACCAATCTCCAGTCTTGCTCTCCTCCCCTGTCCTTACTTCCTGAGTCAGAACAGCAAGATCTACACATAAAACTAATCAGTTGCTGCTAACTTCCACAAGGTGAGAGTGCTCTAACTCCTCTAACCTATAGGTTTGGACCTTAAGGTGGGCTCCCAGAAGGTTCTACTTGATAGTTGTGTGGGTTAAACCTGACATTCCATGAAGTTATAACTAAATTCTGTATTTTATTTGACTGAATATTTTAAAATGCAACTACTGCTCGAATTGAAATTCATGCTTGCAGAGTTCCATGTTTTCACTGAAGAGAAACTGAATGGTAGAAGAGGAGAGACAAAGAGATTAGGCTAAAGCAGATTTTACTAACTTTAATCAGACCTGTTCCACTTTTTTTTGCTCATGTCCCACATTAATTAGATTAAATAGAGGACCAGTACTTATCACTGAAATGTTTGAAAATCACAGTGTAATGATCTGTATTCTATGGGGCAATATTAGAAATAAACGGTAATTTATATGTGATGTAATAAATGCTCAATGCTTTTAAATGCCCTCTAAACTCTGTTATTTTCACAGTGATATCTTAAAGGAAATAAAACTTATAAAATTAAATATTCATAATCCCTCTGTATTGACATAAAACAAATATTTTAGTAGGAATAGATGCACATGTTGGTAATCATTAAGCTTATATTAGTTTGGGAGTTTTTCTTTTTTCTTAAAAAATAAAATTACACATTTAAGTTGAAATATATGTAAATATTTAAAAGAAAAAATAATACAAATTTTGTCATAAACCAAAGGTCAAAAAATCATAAAATCTATAAATATTATTTTATTAATGAAATTCCAGACAAATCTCTGCACATTTGGTGGTAAGGGTGTTCTTAGTGATCATTCCTACACCAAAAGAGATAGCATTATTTAATAATGTCATTGATTTTGAGCCATATAAATATACCCATTAAACATCAAAGTATCATTAACTCAATCCTTTGTTAGCTGGGTCCTAAAAATGCCTGCAGATATGCTAATGCACTGTTTTGTCAGATAAAGTGTGATGAAGTGGAAGTCAGAATATTAATGGAAAGTGGCCTTAGTTGGTCATGGTTAAAATATCTTTGCTTACAGAATTTTCACAAAGACATATTACTTGTGAGTTTATTGTTAAATCCCTACCCAGAAAGTGCAAGTGAGGGAAACTAAAATTTAAACAACAGTAGCTTCATGCTATCTCTATCTCACTTTTTAATAATAGCACAATTCCACAAGAATTCTTTGGAAAATATGGAAGTATACTAGAAAAAAAAAACTGTGACGCCACTGTGTGGGTGAAATAAAGTCTAACATTTCCATATTAATAACTATATAATTTTGTTATCAATTGATGTGTTCCAAACATTATTGATATTTACAGTTTAACTTACCTCATAATTATATGTGTATTTAATATGGGTCCCTTCTTTTGATAGAAGTTTTCTTGTTTTTTTTTTTTTTAGTTTTAGGATCAGATGTAGAAATAATGTTTATTACCTATCGTGAATAACACCTTTTGTCTACAAATGTTATAATTTGTTTAGATGACATTACATAAAATCTTTTAACAACTGTTCTGTTTCTTCCTGGAAGAGATAACTGGACTAAATGGGCCAAAAGAATCTAACAGTGCTTACTGAATTAATTCTGATGGAAATCACAAGGCGGCTTGAGCTGCAGCTCTCCCTTTTTTGGGTCTTCCTCATCATCTGCACATTCACAGTGGTGAGCAAAGAGTGCATAATCATTTTGAACAATGTGGACTTGGGTCTACACAACATTTGTGTATTTTTTAAATCAGGTACCTGAATTTTATTAATCTTGGTAATTCTATGGTCATTTATCCCAAGATACTGGTAAACTTTGTTGTGGCTCAAAATGCCATTCCCTGTTATGCATGTACCATGCAGATGGCTTTCTTCATTATGTTCATTATCTGTGAACTTTTCGTCTCATCAGCCATGGCCTATGACCACTATGTGGACATCCATAGCCTTCTGCCATAAAATGTTATGTCTCAGGAACTTTGTCATGTGCTGGTGGTATTCCATACCTTTATAGTACCTTTCAAGCTCTGATGGTCACTATAAAGATTTTTATATTGGCCTTCTATGGCTCCAATGTCATAAGTTATTTCTACTGTTAAGATGTTTCTTTGTTAGCCATGGTGGACTCAAATGCATGAGGAATAGAAATGTTGATCACACTATTTTCAGTACTTAATTTGATATTCTTTCTTCTGGTAGTCCTAATGTCCTCCATGCTGATTCTATTAACTGTTTGTTGAATGCATTCTGCAGAGAGCAGTAAAAAACTTTCTTCACGTATGTTTCTTGTCTGATAGTGGTGGTTGTGTTCTGTGGGTTTCTATACTTTATGTACTTGCAGCTCAAATTCAGTTCCTTTTTTTTTGATAATAATAAAATGACCTCCATGTTTTCCTCTTTAGTGATTACCATGCTTTACCATTTGGTCTGTAGTGTAAAGAACAAAGGGAGTAAAAAAAATGCCTTCTATAGTTTTTTTATGAAGCAGTGAAAACTTTGTAATTTAATGGTCAATATGGAATATTGTTCTAGGAAGCTATGATAGAGGCAAATGTCACTAATGAATATTTCTAGTACATATAAATACATTATTTTGGGCTCCACAGCAAAAACTGGGTATAACACACACAAATAGGTTTTTCCTTTTCTTTAGGCAAACCAATCTTCAAGTTTTATATCTCAATTAAATGTGAAGTTCTTATCAACGTCTCTTGCTTCTGATTCAATGTTTTCTTTAGTTATTGTATAGAAGCTCATATTCCTTGCCATATAAACACTTATTAAACTCTACATCAATAAAATATGTGTTCATTTCTTTAATTTTTTTTAGAAAAGGTATCTTCTCAATATTATTTTCAAAAACTAAAGCAACAATTTAAATTATGAGAATAATCTGCAGGAAGCATATATTTGGGTGATTTTTATTAAATTAATTCTGGCAATTTCTGCCTCTTAAATGGATAATGTAATTCATTTACACTTAAAGTAACTACAGATACTGATTAGTCAGGAGAGGGGCAAAATGATTGATCAGACAAGCCAAGAAGTTCTGCTCCCGTTGGGAGAAACTAAATTATGAGTAAACCAACATAATATGAACAGATCTTCAGAGAGAAAACACCAAGAGTGAATGGAGAAGTAATGCAGGCTCTGAGGTTGAAGATAAAAGAAGCTGGAAACCCTGAGTGGAATACTTGAATGCTAGAGCTAGCTCCAAGTCACCAAATAGCTCCTGGGGAATGGATGAGAGAAAGGACTGTGGAATGGCTCACTCTCACTGTGAACCTCTGAAATCCTAGCTACAGGCAACCCCATCTCATGATGAACATTTGAGCTGGCAGGAGAATCTATCCAGACAGTAGACAGAGACAAGGCTTCATTGGAGTGGAGCTGGGGGCCTTTGTGCATGGAAGAGCTCCAGTGGAACATGGCCATATGTGTCCATCCCCTAGGGCTCTAAATCTCCCTTTGGGAAGCTCTATCCCCAGCTGACTGCTAGGCTCGGAGAAAGCAGAGACAACTTCCCCTTGGAAATGGGGCCTATCTGTTCTGCAGAAATTTCCTGCCTTCTAGCCCCTCCCATGGCCCCTGCCTGGCTACCCCACAGAAGTGTATGCACAGTGCAAACTCTGTTGCCCAGGCTGGATGTTTTGCTCTACTTCAGTATGTAACTGGTGGGGTGGGAGCATTTTGGATTCTCTAGCACACTCAGAACCCAATCCCTAAGGTACAGAGAATTAAGCTGTGAACCAGTTCTGGTGCCCCAGGGCTATGGCATGCAGGTTGGGAGCACCAATCCAAGATCTGTGGCTTGTACTTGTCTGGGAGAGGACCCTACATTCTCAGAGGACTGAGAGGGTTGAGATGCACAAGTTCATAATCTGGCATGGTGTCTTCTGCAGAGCTGGTCTTGAAAGGAGGTGGACTACCTCCCTAATAAAGCTTCTGCCCAAGGGAGTCCTGTGGCCTGGAACACCTAACAAAAGAAATGCAGGTGTGGTTCCAATAATCAGAAGGGGCTCCTCTAAGGTCCAGGAGTGAAGCTAGTGAGAGGGGTCACTTCTCTTCCCTCCACACAGCAGGCACACACAAGAAAATACAAAAGAAGCCATGCAGCTGAGTCAGAGCTTATCTACTGGCCATTACTCCTAAGCATCATCTCCTGGATAGCAGCTCAAACTACAACACCAAAAATATTTTGCTATTATACCCTCCTGTGAAACAAAGGGCAAGCATATAGCCACAAATAAAGACTCTGTACAGAGCCTTGGCCCTCTGAAAACATCTAGAAACAAAGCCAACCGACTATACTCAATTTACATCACAATTAAAGGAACAACAGTCTTCCCAGATGAGAAAGAATTAGCACAAGAACTCTAGGAATTCAAAAAGCCAGAGTGTACCCTTACCTTAAAGTGAGCCCACTAGATTTCCAGGAATGGTTCTTAACCAGTCAGAAATGAATGAAATGACATGCATAGAATTCAGAATCTGGGTAGCAATAAAGATGATCAGGATTCAGAAGAAATTTAAAACCCAATCTAAGGAATCCAAGAAATTCAGTAAAATGGTTCAAGAGGTGATGCAGACATTTTAAGAAAGAACTAATGTGAAGTATTAACAGCAGAATAGATCGAGCTGAGGAAAGCATCTTAGAGCTCAAAAACCAGTTCTTCCAATCAACTCAGTCTGAAAAGAAAAGAAAAATAATTTTTTTTTTGAGACGGAGTCTTGCTCTGTCGCCCAGGCTGGAGTGCAGTGGCACAATCTCAGCTCACTGCAAGCTCCGCCTCCCGGGTTCATGCCATTCTCCTGCCTCAGCCTCCTGAGTACCTGTGACTACAGGCGCTTGCCACCATGCCAGGCTAATTTTTTGTATTTTTAGTAGAGACGGGGTTTCACTGTGTTAGCCAGGATGGTCTTGATCTCCTGACCTCGTGATCCACCCGCCTCGGCCTCCCAAAGTGCTGGGATTATAGGCATGAGCCACTGCACCCGGCCCAGAAAAGAAAAATAATTTTAAAAATAAACAAAACCTCTAAGAAATATTCCTATATTTCTTAGCTACAACTTGTTAGCTTTCCTGAGAAAGAAGGAGAAGGAATAAGCAACTTGGAAAATACATAAGAGGACATAGTCCACAAAAATTACCCTAAACTCGGTAGAGAGATTGATATGCAAATTCAAGAAATACAGAGAGCACCAGATAGATACTGTACAAGAAAACCATCCCAAAGGCTCATAGCCATAAGATTCACCAAGGTCAATGCAAAAGGAAATAAATCTTAAAGGCAGCCGGAGAAAAGGGTCAGATAACATGCAAAGAGAACCTTATCCGCCTACCAACGGACCTCTCAGCAGAAATCTTAAAGGCCAGAAGAAATTGGCACCTATTTTCAGCAGTCTCCAAAAAAAGAAATTCCAACCAAGATTTCATATTTCACCAAACTAACTTCAGAAGTGATTGAGTGATAAAATCTTTCTCAGACAAGGGAATTTGTTTCAACTAGACCAGGCTTACAAAAAGTCTTCAAGGAGGTCCTAAACATGGAATCAAAATAAGGACACTTATTGCACTTAAGCAAAAATGCACTTAAGCATACAGCCCACAGACACTATAAAACAACTACACAATCAAGTCTACATAACTACCAGCTAAAAGCACAATGACAGATTAAAATCTCACATTTCAATACTAATACTAAATGTAAATGGGCAAGCTGAATACAAAGACAGACTCAACCATCTCCTACTTTTAAGAGACCTATCTCACATGTATTAACACCCACAGGCTCAAAGTAAAGGGACAAAGAAAGAGCTACCATGCAAATGAAAAAAAAAAAAAAAAAGAGAAGGAGTCACTGTTCTTGTATCAGATAAAATAGACTAAAACAATAACAAGGACAGAGACAGATATTACATAATGATGAAGTATACAATCCAATAAGAAGACTTAACTATCCTAAACAAATATGCAGTCAACTTTGGAGAACTGAGATTCATAGAACAAGTTGTACTTGATCTATGAAAATATTTAGCCACAAGATAATAGTGGGAGACTTCAACTTCCCACTGATGGCATTAGACAGATCTTTGAGGCAGAAACCTAACAAAGAAACTCTGGGCTTAAACTTGACACTTGACCAACTAAATCTAATAGACATCTACAGAACACTCTGCCCAACAACCACAGAATAGACATTCTTCTCATTGACCATATGTTCAGTAATAAAGCAAGTCTCTACAAATTAGAAAAATCAAAATCATACCAAGCACACTTTCACACCACAATGCAATAAAAATAGAAATTAATATCAAGGACATCCCTCAAAATAAAAAAAATGACGATTAAACAATTTTGTTCTGAATAACTCTTAGGTTAACATCAAAATTAAAATTAAGGCATAAATTTTAAAAATGCTTTTCAAGTAATGAAAATAGGGAGACAACTTACCAAAATATCTGGGATATAGCTAAAGCAGTATTAAGAGGAAAGTTTATAGTGCTAAATACCTTCAATAAGAAGTTAAAAGATCTCAAACTAAAAGTCTAATTTTGCACCTACAAGTACTAGGGAAAAACAAACAAACAAACAAAAAACAGAACAAATCAACTCCAAAGCTAGCAGGAGAAAATGTAGAGTAGAACTGAACAAAGTTGAGACACAAAAATTTACACAAAAGATCAATTAAACCAAGTGTTGATTCTTTGAAAAATTAAACAAGATTGATAGACCATTAGCTAGATCAGAGATAAAAATTTGATATTACATTGTTCCCATAAAATACAAAACATCCTCAGAGAAAACTATGAACTCAATGCACACAAATTAGAAAATCTAGATGAAATGAATAAATTCCTGGAAACACACAATATCCCAAGGTTGAATTAGGACTATATTAAAACCCTGACTAGACAAATTTTTAGTTCTAAAACTGAATCAGTAATAAAAAAAAAAAAAACCTGCCAACCAAAAAAAAAAAAAAAAAAAGCCCTGGATTAGATGAATTCACAGCCTAATCCTACCAGGTGTACAAAGATCTGGTACCAATTCAACTGAAAATAATACAAAAAATTGAGGAGGAGAGACTCCTCCTTAACTCATTCTATGAATGCAGCATCTTCCTGATGCCAAAATCTGGCAGAGACACAGCAAAAAAAGAAAACTTCAGTCCAATATTCTTGATTAGTATAGATGCAAAAATCCTCAAAAAATATTAGCAAATTGAATCTAGCAGCATATCAAAAAGTTAAAACCTCATAATCAAGTAGGCGTTACTCCTGGGATGCAAGGCTATTTCAACACATGCAAATCAATATATATGATTCAACACACAACCAGAATTAAAAACAAAAACATACAATCATCTCAATATATGTAGAAAATGCCTTTTATAAAATCCAATATCCCTTCAGGATAAAAACCCTCAACAGACTAGGCATTGAAGGAATGTACCCGAAAATAATAAAAGCCATCTGTGATAAACCCACAGCCACATCATACTGAAAAAGCAAAAGCTGGAACCATTTCCCCTGAGAACTGGAATAAAACAGGGATGCCCACTCTAACCACACCAATTTAACATAGCACTAGAAGTTCTAGCTGGAGTAACCAGGCAAGAACACCAACAAAAAAAAAGGCATAAAAGTAGAAATAGAAAAAGTCAAACTATCTCTTTTCACTGATTATATGATTCTGTATGTAGAAAACCCTAAAGCTTCCACCAAAAGCCTCCTAAATGTCCAAGCTAAGAGTCAAATCAAGAACACAATCCCATTTACAGTATCCACAAAGAAAAAAATACCAAGGAATCAGCTAATGAAGGAGGTAAAAGAACTCTACAAAGAGAACTACAAAACACTCATGAAACGAATCAGAGACGACACAAACAAATGGAAATACATTGCAAGCTCATGGACAGGAAGAATCAATATTGTTAAAGTGACCATATTGTCAAAGTAATTTATGGATTCAATGCTACTCATATCAAAATACTAACATCATTCTTCATAGAATTAGAACAAAATATTCAAAAAAAAATCTAAAATTCATATGAAGTCAAAAAAGAGCCAAAATACACAAAGCAATCCTAAGCAAAAAGAACAAAGATCACTCAACTGAACTTCAAACTATAATGTAAGGCTACAGTAATCTAAAAAAGCATGATACTGTCACACACACAGATCACTGGAACAAAAGAGAAAACTCAGAAATAAAGCCATACAACTACAACCATGTGATCTTTGACAAGGCTGACCAAAAAAAAAAAAAAAGATGAGGAAAGGACTCACTATTCAATAAATAGTTCTGGGATAACTGGCTAACCATATGCAGAATATTGAAACTGTACTCACTACTTTTCACCATATGCAAAAATTAACTCAAGAGGGATGAAAGATTTAAATGTAAAATTTCATACTATAAAAATCCTGGAAGATAACCTGGGAAATAACCTTTTGACCTCAGCCTTGGAAATTAATTTTTGGATAAGTCTGCAAAAGCAATTGCAACAAAAACAAAAATTTGACAAGTGAGACCTAATTAAACTAAATTGCTTGTGCACAGCAAAATAAACTGTCAACAGTATAAACAGACAATCTTCAGAATTGGAGAAAATATTCATAAACTGCATCTGATGAAGGTTTAATACACAGACTCTATAAAGAACTTAAACCAACCATCAATCAAAAAACAACCCCATTAAAAAATGGGCCAAGGACATGAACAGGCACTTTTCAAAAGAAGACATACAAGTGGCCAACAAACAGATAAAAAATGCTAATCATTACTAATCATCAGAAATGCCAATCAAAATCACAACAAGATACCATCTGACACCAGTAAGAATGGCCATTACTAAAAAACAAAACAAAACAAAACAAAAAAACAGAGGCTGGCAAGTCTGCCAAGAAAAGAAAATGCTTATACACTGCTGATGGGAATGTAAATTATTTCAGCCACTGTGGAAAGCAGTTTGGAGATTTCCCAAAAACTTAAAACAGAGCTACCATTTGACCCAGCAATTCCATTACCAGCTATACATTCAAAAGGAAAATGAATCATTCCACCAAAAAGACACGTGCACAAGTATGTTCATCATCACACTATTCACAATAGCAAAGGCATGAAATCAACATACGTTCCCATCAATGGTGGATTGGATAAAGAAAATAAGGTACATATACACCCTGGAGTACTATGCAGCCATAAAAAAGAACAAAATCATGTTCTTTGCCACAACATGATGCAGCTAGAGGCCATAATTAAAACAGAATCAGAAAACAAAATACTACGTGTTCTCACTTTTAAGTGGGAGCTTAAACATAAACATAGGAAAGATAGGCACTGTGGACTACAAGAAGGGGGACAAGGGTGTCTGTTGAAAAACTACTTATTGAGTACTATGCTTGCTTATGTGAGTGAAGGGACCCATACCCCAAACCCCAGCATCATGCAATATACCCATGTATCAATCCTGCACATGTATCTCTGTATCTAAAATAAAACTTGAAAGTTAAAAAAAAAAAGTAATTACAGATGTTGGAAGACATACTTTCTACTTATTGCCATTTTTTTCTTAGATGTAATATTTTTGTTATTATTTTTCATCCTTTCCTCCATTTCAAGTTCTCTTTGAGTTTGTGTTTGAACTCTAAATTATGCATGGCTATATC